>NC_000010.11:50749155-50900671 GCF_000001405.40 Homo sapiens | reverse complement strand
ATGCAGTCTGAGATATTAAAATATGGAAAATGCATATCTTAGAATTGCTGAAATACAGTATGTATGCCAATAAATGTCTTTATTTTTTATTACTTCAGTGGACCCTATCCACATAAAAACATGCCCCCTGAGAGGCTACCCTGCCTCCTGTCATCATTGCTGAATTACGTCTTTAGAACCATGTTGAACAACTAGAGAGCTGGAGCCAAGGAAAGTGTTTGAGTTGAAGGATTTTGTAAGGCAACAGCGATTTGCTGTTTGGATGGCGAATTATTAGTGCAACTTTCCGCATTATTAGAAAGCAATTCTTGAAGAGGATAGAAACTGGTTGGCAGTAGATATCACAGTCATGGCCATATTACAATTCGTGGTCCAACTCACCCAAACTGAGTAATATTTGACATTACTTGTCTTAATACAAATTTAAGTTTGGTATTACTAGTTTAAAAGAAAATTTTCGAAAGTACTATGTAAGTACAGTGAGTGATGATCTGTGCTCTGGGTCATTAACAAGGGGGTGGGAGGTAGGTTTTTCATAGACTATGAGGTGTGGCAGTTAACTAGAGCTTGGAGGCTCTCTTTATAAATTAGAGAACAAGTTAAAAGTAAACATATTTCAGTTAATAATATTATTTTTACAAAAGAAATAATCTTATCTTGAAACTAAATATTCTTCAAAACCAGTTGTGTACAGCAAATGAGTTTTCAGCTTGAATCTCCTGATATTCCATAACAGTCCTCCATGAAAACAAAACATTATTTAAACTCTCAAATACATTTTGATCTCTAGAGAAGACAGAAGACAATGACAGCAGTAACAAAAAATTTTTTAGAAGGCTATGTGACAGGCACTGTGTTATGCACTTAATACAGTGTCCCATTTAATCTTCACCTATGAAGTGGGCAATTTTAATATCACCATTTTATTAAATATAAAAGAAAAAACTGAGGCTTGAAAGTACTAGAGAACTTGCCTGCAGTTCTTCTGGGAAATGCAAAGCTGTGAATCAAACCTGGTCTTTTAATACCCTACACGTATTTGCTTTCCTTTATACTTCATTACTTTTCAACATCAATTTCTAAGGTGATATAATAAAGCCAAGGACCTCTTCTAGGTCTTCTCAGGCAGATCAAAAAGGTACTTTACCCAACTCTCTCCAGTGTGTTCAGTGAGCTAATACTGCTTTAAATATATGACCTGCTCAAATTTTTTAGGTCCTCCAGCAAACTGGGATATGGGAGAAATGTTTGATAGGTGCATAACTTAGGCACTGAGTAAAGGATTGGCAACATTTAAATATTTTCTTGAAATTTGTGCTGACTTTTGGGGTCCATTTTTAATAGACAATATCTGGTTGTATATAAATATGGAGAAAGAGAAAAAGACAGAGAGAAATAATGATAGAGGTGGTTATAGGCACATGGATATAACTTTAGGGTCTTGAAAATCCATAACGTATTTCTCAATACCAATATTCATGGCCGCCTATGGGCATAAGGTTGGGCAATCCTAGGTTCAAGTTCTTGCTAACTGGCTGAGTGACCCTGGGCAAGTTACTTAACTTATCTGAGTTTAATCCCTTCATCTATCAAATAGGGAAAGCATTATTAATGCTTTCCTTTGACAACTGTTTTGAAGTTTTGGAATGGTATACGTAATGTGCCTTACACAATGTTGATACATTCTTATACTCATTCATTCATACATTTCTCCACTTAACATTCACTGAGCATCTACTACACTCCAGGCACACTTCTAAATATTAAGGATAAGGTAATAAACACTCAAACAAAATAAGATACCTACCGTTCCCCCATAAACTATATGATTTTGTGAGGGGAAACTACATTAAATTTGAAAATTATACAAATATATGTAAAAGTACAACTGAGATAAGTGTGCCTGGATGCAGCAACTAAGGGGACTGAAAGAGCTCCCAATAGCCACAGCTGAAACAATTTGAATAATGAAAGTATTATTGGGTTATAACCCGAAGTGTAAAATAAATATTCATGAGTCAACACTGATTTAAATAAATAATTAAATAAATAAATAGGGGCAAAGAGACAAATCTCCCATGCAGAAGAATTCCAAATAATATATGCAGATACTATACCCAAAAGGAGAATGAACATAACTTTCCACTTCTTAGATGTGGGCTATGCAGAGCGACTTCCTTTCAAAGAGTACAATGTGGAAAGGGAAAGGAAAGAGTAATTTTTCAATGGAGAAACCTGACAAACACTATTTCATCTAGATGATCAAAGTCAACATCAACAGCCATATATCACGTTGCTAGAATATACCCTTGATAGAATGTCATAAAGGCAGCATTTTACACCTGTGATCTTCCTACCAAAAACCTGTAACCCCAGTCTAATAATGAGAAAAACATCAGATAAATTCCAATTATGGGACATTGTGTAATATACTTGATCAGCACCCCTCAAAACTGTCAAGGTCTTCAAAAACAAAGTCTAAGAAACTGTCACAGCAAAAAGAGATCTTAAGTAGACATGATGAATAAATGTATATGGTATCCTCGATGAGACGCTATGATAGAGAATATGAAGTAAAATCTAATGAAATCTGGTTGAAGTATGGATTTTGGTTAAAAATTAATAACCATATTGCCTCATCTATGATAACATGTGTACTGTGCTAATGCTATATTAATAATAAGGGAAACAGGGTGTTGGGTATATAGAAACTGCTCTGTCTTTACAATTTTTCTGTAAATTTAAAGCTCCTGTAAAAATAATGTTTATCTTAAAGAAACAGTTGCAAAAACATCTAGAATGTACTTGTCCTACACCTTAATAAACATTCCTTCAAAAGTTAAAAAAAAAGTTCCCCCAAAGAGAGGAGTAGGGAAGTAGTAGAGCAGGCAATTGCTAGAATTGACTTTTGTATGTGTAGGTATATAAATGGCTTCCTGAGGCAGTCCTGGTGAAGCTGAGTTAAGACTCATTAAAGAGTAGCTACTGTTTTTATTCTGATAAGCTTTGTTTGTTTAATAAAAAAAAGGATCTTTGCCTCTTTATCTATAAATCTACACTACTAGAGTCACTCATTGAGTTAGCCTAGCAAAGGACCATTGCCTGATTGCCTGGGAGAGAATAAGGTATATAAGTGTGAGTTCTCTCCAAGACACCACCATTAGCCATCAGTCTACAAAGGAAATCAATGTGTATTAAATGCTTATGTGCTCAGCAAGGCAGCAATCTTTACATAGAGTATCCATCTCACTCTTTGTAGCACTCCCGAAGATAGGTATGAAAAACCCATTTTACAGATGAGGAAACTAAGGTTCAGAAATGATGTGGCTAGACCTGCCAGAGCTCAAAATTAAATCTTTGACTCCTGCTTTTTCTATACCACCTATAATAATTTGTTTATATTGTATGCCATGGAGAGCATAGACCTAATGAGATAAAATCATTTTTAAAGGCTTGCCTTGGTCACAGTTACATAAGAATATATATATAAGAATATATAAAGTTTATAGGATGATAAAAATGTCAATCGACTATTCTGCTAATTTTTTTTAAGTATAGTAAAAAATAACTCCTCTGGCATAAAGTCAGCAGTCAGATGTTTGAACTCAGAGGAACTTAGCAAAGTAGGTCTTGCTGATTTAAGTGTGCCTTTAATTGGTGCTTTGGTTGAATGTCCTTTTTGCAGCAAATGAATCCACAATAACTATCATTAACAGGAAGCTCATTTTCCAACTGAGTGAACAGAACTGGGTGAGGTTGTAAAGTGTGGTTGTTCCATTTTCAGTGGTGCTTCATTGTGTGAAGTTAATGCATTAGAAGTAATCCATGTGGACAGGCCAAAATATTTCCAGCAAAAAAATCAAGAAACATTTTGGTTGGCCAAAGCAAACACAATCTGGGATGCATTTTAAACCATGAGATGGCTTCCTCTCCAATCCTCCTACTCCAAGATTTAGATATAATAACACTGTCATGAGCTCCAAACATACATTTAAATTTATGTTTTGACACAAACTCAATGTACTGTGAGCCCTTTCACTTTCTGTTATATATCTTTGTCAGTAACAAATAAAGGACTCGCTCCTTCTTCTCTTATTACTAAATCCTTCTGAATAATGAACTAATCATATTATTGGAACTCATGTTTTACTTAAATAATTTACAGTTAACATTCATTGAATACTTACTGTACACCAGACGATAGACTAAGTGTTTTATAGAATTATCTTAATTAATCCTTAAAATACCCCCATTTTATTTAAAAAGAAAAAGCAGTTAAGAAACATGGAGAGCAGTTTCAGACATTTCAAAATGCTTTAAATAGTGGATAGAGTGTACATCATGTGAATTACATCTCAACAAAACCGTTTTAAAATAGATCTATATCTATCATCTATCTATCTATCTCTATCATCATCTATAAGTGAGATCCAGAAGAGAATATAGGGAATAGTGCAGAGGCGATAGTAAAGAGATAGCAGCTGATCATTTCTAGCACTGAATAAAGTCTAAGTTCTCTTAGAGGAAGCCCTAGATACACTCTAGTGAATCTGCAAAATAGTGAGAAAATTTTAACAGAATGTATACATTGGAAGTCCTCCTTTATCTATCCCCTCAATCCTCTTTCACAAACCACTACTAGTAAAATTTGATGTATGGGAATACATATATAACTATATATTTATGCAAATACATTATCCAGTTTGCTATGCATGTGTTTTTGCTTTCTTTTGAATTATTAAAAGGTATCATACAATAGAATTGCTGTGCAATTTTCTATTTTCCTGTAACAACAAACTATGAGGATCTTGACATGTAATTCTATATGAATTCAGTTTTTTATTTATTGTAAGGTTTTCCATTTTTAATGCTATTTAAAATAATTTGTTAATTTTTGTCAAATTCATAGAAAAATAGAGATTTTCGTGATCCTCTCAAAAACAAAACAAAACAAAAATACTCCATTTTATTTTATTTATTTATTTTTTAAATACTCCATTTTAGAGAGAAAAAAATTTAAATAATTTCATCAAGATTTCACAGCTAGTGAATAGGGGTTCTAAATTTGAAGTAAGCAGGAAATCCAGCTTGAGGGCCCAAATGCTTAGCCCCTGCACCTTCCTACCAGGTACTTAGTAGTGTTACTACTCAGCATGTCTTCCCAGTGCACTCCAGTACTGACCTCCCAGTTCAAACCTAGAACTCACCAAGTTCTAATGTCAGAATTGAAGTTTAGGAGTTTCTTATCTCAGTTCCCTATGTTCTCCTCCAAACTGATCCTTTTGCCAACCCGTATAGGTCATTTCCTTATGAGACTCAATTACCTCAATTACTGAAAGAGAGAGTCAGACTAAAAACTTTTCCAAATCTCATATTCTCTCTCTTTTCCTGTTCATTGGAACTTCTGATTTGATGGTCCACACAAAAGTTCACTCTGAGCTTCCTACTTACCAGAACTTTAACCTCATCAAGTGCACCTGCCCTCTAGGAGTCATGGTACAACAAGTTGGTAGAATCACAGTCACAGAATGAAAGAATCACAAGATCTTACCACTGGAAGGGAAGTTAATAGTTACAGGGTGCCGATGAGTACCCAGGTGATGAGGGGCAACACAAAAGCAGAGGTCAGTAGCCCCCGATGCCATTCCTTCCTAAAACCAGACTGAACTTAGCTGCACATCAAGGCATTTATACCCAAGTTCTGTTTCTTTCCCTGATTATTTTAGTAGAACAAAATGTAAGAAGGAGATTGGTGAACACTAAATAAAGATTTTAAAAATGAAAAAGAAAAGAAGGCAAGAGAACATCAACTGCCACCACCCTACCGGCAGAGAGTGAGGAAGAAAAAACATTTGCCTGCTACTTAAAATATGTCCATTCTGCTCTATGCACTGTAAAAAACATTCTTTTAAAAAAGAACAAAAAGTAAACAGTCACTCTTCAGCAGCCTTCTATATATATATATATATGTATACATATATACATATATCTATACATATGTATACATATATATAGAAGGCTGCTGAAGAGTGGCTGTCATATATATGACATATATATGACATATAGATGACATATATATGAGTATATATGTCATATATATGAGTGCTGAAGAGTGTCATATATATGTCATATATATGTCATATATATGAGTGCTGAAGTGTCATATATATGACATATATATGAGTGCTGAAGAGTAGCTGTCATATATATGTCATATATATGTCATATATGATATATATATATGATAGGTTAAAACAAATGGCAGTGAGCAACCCCAGACTTCTCTTTTTTTTGACCCAACTCTGTTCCTACACACCAAATTCAATTGGTTTAAACATCTCTTTACCAACCACTTTACTTAGCAACCTCATCACCAATAGCAGTATGTAGATTTAACTTTTTAGAATAATATTCTAGATACTACTGAGATGTCTTACTGTCAAAATTCCAATAATACCGAAATGAATATATTTTTAGTTGTCCAAGATTTTTCTTTTATAGTAACCTTTTTTAAATGAAGGCAACTTTCTATCAAATGTCTCTGAGAATAATTCTTTGACAATCTACCTTCAGAATTTGTTGCTTCTGTTTCAGAGTTGCTGTTTTAAAAATACTTATTAATTTTGTCTGTTCGTTTCTTAATTTATCACCCCTGTTTGATTACTGTCAAATTTCAAATGTAGGTTTTATAGTAGTCTGCTTCCAGCAAGTGTGTGTGTGTGTGTGTGTGTGTGTGTGTGTGTGGAGAGAGAGAGAGGGAGAGGGAGGGAGGGAGGGAGGGAGGGAGACAGGGAGAGAGAGAGAGTGTGAGAGAGAGAGAGAGAGGCAGGCTGTGTGAGGACTACTGAAGTTTGCGTAGTTCGTCCTCTGTGTGCTGGGGTTCCTCATGCTGCAGTCATAACCTACCTGGGCCCGTTTCCCACTTTTCTAGTGCCAAAAATCACTAACAAAGTGCTCTTAGTGAGGCTTTAGAGAGCAGTATGCCCAGCTCTATCATTTCACCTCTCCAAGTGATTCTCATCATCTGTAAAACAGGATCAGAAGACAGTCTTTCTAGACTTCCTTTCAATTGGAATATTCTGTGATCTAGAAAGATGTATTAGTCAGGGTGCTCCAGAGAAACAGAACCGGCAAGCTGTGTTTATATGTGTCTCTCTGTGTGCATGTGTGTGTGTAGATGTAAAATGTATATATGTATATGTGCACATATATATTTTACACACACAGCTCACTTATGGTACAAACACATAGATCATTTAATTATTTTAAAAAATATAACTTGGAGATTAATAACCCTACTTTACAAATAAGAACATTGATATTCAAAGACATTAAGACACCTTCCAAGGTCTCTTAGAGAGTCAAGGGCCAAAGCCTGTATGCTTTGCTGTACCCCAAGCTGGTTCCTGGTGTGACAATACTTTGCACAAAACATTTAACCTTATTATCTCATTTTCCTCCTCTTCTTCAAAACAGAAGAAATTGCACCCCCTGCTCTAACTACTTCCCAGAGTTGATGTAAGGATAAAATACATATAACAACGTCTTAATTTCCACAGTGATCTATGAAACTCAAAGCATGAAGCTCAAAACACTCCACAGTGTAAATACATAATGTTTTTAACCAAGCCATGCAGATGGGCTTAGACCTTGTGACAGAAAACACTATGGTTTTCAAAGCAGTGTATTTTGAGACTACATAGAATCACAGTTTCATTTTTGTTTGCTAGGATAATGGAAGAAATACAGTTAATGTTGAAGACTCCTTTTAAAACTGATTAATATAAAATTAATATAGGTGAATATTTTTATTTCTTGTTAAATAAGGGGTAGAAATGCAGTTCTATTACATGAATATATTGCATAGTGTTAAGTCCGGGCTTTTAGTGTAACCATGACCCAAAAAGTGTATATTGTACCCATTAAGTAATATTAAGTAGTAATATCTCATCTCTCATCCCCCTCCTATCTCCCCACCCTTCCAAATCTAGGTAAATATTTAACATGAATCTGTCACTAGACTAAGCACTTGCCAACACATCTCTCCTCTGAGTTTTATGGGAACTCTATGAGGTGGGTGCTATTATTATCCCCATTTCTAGATGGGAAAATAGATGCTTTGAGAGTGAGATGACTTACCTGAAAGCAGGTAATCAGTGAGTAGTTGATTCGGGATATTAAAAACCCAAGTAACTGGGCTGAAAACCCATGCTTTTTAACATTATACTCTACCAGCTTCTAATACTGACATGATTGTTGTTAAGATCCACTGAAAGTATAATGGAAACTGCAAAGCACATTTGAAAGGTTATTTTCCATTTTGCATAAGCTACAAATAACACAAATTGAGAATTCAGCTCCTCAAACATAACCTCAGTTTTGTTTGAAAGGTTAATATTCTTTTCACAAAAATCTTGCCATTAGTTTCAGATTTCTTTTTTTTCCATTTGAAAATGTATGAATGCATACAATTAGCATTTCAGTATTCCACTTTTGTTACTCTTAACTCTCAAGTTTTTCTTGTATTTATTAAGAAAATCAGAAAAAAAATGCCCTTTTTATTTTATTGATAAATGTTTTCTACTTGGATATAGAAAGTATGGATTTGACGAATTAGTCCTGATTTAAATTCTGGAAATTATAGTGGCCAGATCTAGTTTTTATTGTGAAAAAAATGAAAAAATACTGCCTAAATTGACGTAGTTAGCTTCTCAGAGTCATTCGTTAGTCATCTGTCAAATGTTTGTGTGGTGCACACACAAACACATGTGTATACTTATTTTAACTTTGCTTCCTCCAGTGTCCCCTACCTTTTGAAAAGAATATATCTCTTTTTATCAAAACTTAGTAAAATTAACTCAAAGAGATAGGTAATGACATGATCATTAAAAGAGAGGTTATGTGATAACTTTTTCTCAGGTCATTGTATAAAAGCGAGTGCAGATTTTTCTATGAGAATTTGTTTCTTTACAGTAAAGAGAATGGAGCAGATTCTAGTACAGATTAAAGACCCGATGATCTGTAATTTTCTAACATGACTAAAGGAATACACCAGATTTGGTAGCTGGATTTCTTTTTCTAAAATTGCTCTTTTACACAAAATCAGTATTTGCTTTTATGTTGGTTGAGCTAAATAATATTTCTTTTTTAAAAAAATAAGAAGACCACATTTAAAAATTCTAATTTCAAGAACACTCATTAAACAAAGGAGTAAGGATGAAAAGGAACAAGGAAAGGTGGGAGGTACTTAACTCAGGGTGAAAGGTCAGGGCCAGGCTAGCATCCCATTGTTACCATGGTTTTTAGATGTAGCCAGGGCTTTACATTAATTCTTAAGTTCTCATCAGATCCTACAATTATGTTATACTAAAACACCATTCTAATGTGCCAGGAGAAAAAGATGCAATTTCCTAAAGCACAAAATAAAGGAGAGAGAGAGAGAGAGACAGAGAGAGAGAGAGAGAGAGAGAGAGAGAGAGAGTGTGTGTGTGTGTGTGTGTGTGTGTGTGTGTGTGTGTACCTGTGTGTGTGCTTAATCAACTCAACACTAGATGGCTCCAGTTACAAAACCGATACATTTTCAAAAATCTAAAACTCTGGGATATGACATTATGCAAACAGATGAATTCTAACCCACTGAATCAAATTCTGCTGTCTTCCAAAGTCTTGCAAACATTAAGAATAGCATTGAGCATTTAGGTTTGAAATGTTATGAATCTCCAAAGGAACAGGCATAAATCCTAGAAGTTCTTATTTCACAGATCAAAACAAGAAGTTGCACTGACATCACCTCAAAGGCTACAGATCTAATCTGCTTTGCAATCATCCCACTCTGTAAATACATGGTATTCTATTATTTTCAAGTCATTTTTACATATATCAATTCCCTTGACCCTCTCAACAATCAGTGAGGTAGATCAGGGATGTAGTTATTTTCCCCATGAAAGGCAAGGACTCAGACTCAGAAAAGGGGCAGAAACTTCCTCAAGGCTAAGTAGCTCATAAGTCATAGTGTCTTGGGATTGAAGTGCTAAGGTCCCAACTCCTGGATCAGAGTACTTTCTAGTCAATAGGCAAGGAAAGAGAAGGAGGCTTTTGCACTACTCAGTGTGCCTGATGTGGCCCTTCAATTCTTTGAAATGCTCCCTTCCAGTGAATTAAACAACCCCACCCACACACCCACCAAACACTCAAAAATAGAATGTTGAATTCCAAGGACACTGAAATCAATGAAGAGATTTTTTTTTTTTTGAGATGGAGTCTTGCTCTGTTGTCCAGGCTAGGGTGCAGTGGTGCGATCTTGGCTCACTGCAACCTCCACCTCCCAGGTTCAGGTGATTCTCCTGCCTCAGCCTCCCGTGTAGCTGGGATTACAGGCACCAGCCACCATGCCTGGTTAATTTTTGTATTTTTAGTAGAGACAGGGTTTTGCTATCTTGGCCAGGCTGGTCTCGAACTCCTGACCTCATGATCCACCTGCAAGAGATATTTTTATTGAGCCAGGGCAGGGAGGATGGTGGCAGGGAAGGAAGCTTCTTATTCTTGGTAATCTTTGACTTTTAGTTATATTTTGTTTTTTTTTTAAGCTTTACGTTTTGCCTTCACCAGCAAAAATTAATGATTTTTACCTAAATGTACTCTGATAGTGAAAGCAAGATTCGTTAAAATCCATAAGCCAAATATTTCATGTATGAATGATTGATCATTGCAACCACCGAATGAGTACTTACTATGGACCTGGTATAGCCTATTTTTGTAAGTCTCTTCTTTTTTGAGCATTCTCATTTCAGCAAATAGTATCACCATCCAGCCAATGGCTGCATTCAGTAATTTGAGACTTGTCCTTTAGATGTCATGCCCTGCTCAGTTCCCATATCCTCTTGATGATTTACCTCCTACACATTTCATGGACCTTGTCTACTTTTCTCTTTTCCCAGAGCCACCACCCTAATCTTAACTACCATCACCTGCCACCTCCCCTCTTACTGGTCTCTTTTAGATGCTTTGCCTCCTTCAAGTTCAAATCACCAACTTACTTGAATATGTACAAGAGTAAAATTATTCTAAGACAACAAAAAAAAAAAAAAAAAAAGGAGAGAAGCAGGCAGTGTTATCCCATGGCAATTTATTCTCCACTCTACACCCAGAATCTACACAAATAGTCCAAGTGGCTCCCCTTCTTCAGATGCTTCCGTGACTTCCTTCCCATTGGCCCTGGATAATGCTGGGAATCTAGTGATGGCCCTTTATGAATCGTCTGACTTGGCTACCTACTCCAGTCAATTTCCCCATCATTTTCCCTCTTGCCCTTCACAACCGACCTTCTACCAGTTTTTTGAATGTGCCTAACTCATGCGAACTCAGGGCATCCCTATGAGCTATTTCCACTCACTAGAATGCCCACCTCCCATCCACACATCCTTCAGGTCTCAGCTTAAATGTCTTGTGTTCTGGAAGGCTTTCCTCAAGTACCTCCCAACCCACCCAGCCCTACACAAGGTTAGGTCCCTATGTTTTATGTTCTGTTTAGCATTCTGTACTTCTCCTTCATAACACTTATTACAACTATAATTAGTTAATCATTGGGGTATATGCTTAATGTGTGTACCTTCCATCTGGTCTGTTAACCACTGAATCCCTTAAGACTAGCACAGTATTTTCCAAACGCTTAAAATTGTGATCCACAATAAAAAATAAAGTTTACTTCATAACCAATACACACAGATAGATACATAATTAGAAAAAAAGTTTCATAAATAGTATTACCCCTTTCTTTTTTGTTTTTTGGTTTTTTTGTTTGTATTTTTTTTGAGACAGTGTCTCGCTCTGTCACCCAGGTTGGAGTGCAGTGGCCCGATCTCTGCTCACTGCAAGCTCCGCCTCCCAGGTTCGCGCCATTCTCCTGCCTCAGCCTCCCGAGTAGCTGGGATTACAGGCACCCACCACCACGCCCAGCTAATTTTTTGTATTTTTAGTAGAGACAAGGTTTCACCGTGTTAGCCAGGATGGTCTTGATCTCCTGACCTGGTGATCCGCCTGCCTCGGCCTCCCAAAGTGCTGGGATTACAGGCATGAGCCACCGCGCCTGGCCAGTATTACCCTTTCTAGATGCAATTCACTTGATATTTTCTGTTCTATTTTAATATGTTAGATACAACCCACTTTATTGATTTTATAGCCTACTAATAGACTCAAATCTCATTTTAAGTAATCACCTTTCTAATGCAACACTTAGCAGAGAGAAGTTTCTCAGTAATTGTTTGTAGAATAAAGTAATAGAAAATTCACATTTACCAGCCACTATCTAAACTGGTTTATTTTTACAAAGTAAAGGCAAATCTTGCCATCCTGGGTACAGTTAGCTCTCTTGATTAGACTGATGAGATCAAGGTCATAAATTTGATCTCATTCTGATGGATTGGTTTCTCTGTCCCAGGGCCAGAGACTTTCTCTCTAAGTACCCCTCAGAAAAAGAAAGGCTGATCCATTGTTTTTATTTTTATTCCTGATCAGTGTATTCCTATCCTTGTAACAAAATGGTTTAAAAAACAAAAGCAATAAAAATAGAAAGCAATAACCTAATAATTCATTACTACCAAATTCATTACTACCACTGGCTGTTAGGAGTAATATATGAATTGTCCTACGGAAATCATCAGATTTTGGGTTAATGCGATTGTAGTCCTGCCCTGTTGAATGCCAGGATCCATCAAATAAGCAACTGACATGTTTTTAATAACTGGTTACAATAGACTGAATGTTTGTGTTTCTCCTAAAATTAATATGTTGAAACCCTAACCCCCAATGTGATGGTATTTGGAAATAGGTCCTTTTGGAAGTAATTATGGTTAGAGTAGGTCATGAGGCTAGGTCCCTCATGACCCTCAGGACCTAGGTCCCTCATTTTAAAAATAGGTGCCCTTATTTTTAAAAAGGAGAAGACATGAGATCTCTCTTTCTGCATGCATGCACCAAGGAAGGCCATGTAAGGACATAACCAAAAAGAGGGTCCTGCTGGCACCCTGATTTTGGATTTCCAGCCTCCAGAACGATGAGAAACAAGTGTTTGTTGTTGAAGCTACCCACTGTATGGTTTTCTTTTTGTTTTCTTTTGTTTTGTTTTTAGATGAAGTCTCACTCTGTTGCCCAGGCTGGAGTGCAGTGGCATGATCTTGGCTCACTGCGAACTCCACCTCCCGGGTTCAAGTGATTCCCCTGCCTCCGCCTCCCAAGTAGCTGAGACCACAGGTGTGCACCACCATGCCCAGCTAATTTTTTTGTATTTTAGTAGGGATGGGGTTTCGCCATGTTGGACAGGATGGTCTCAATCTCCTTACCTTGTGATCCACCTGCCTCAGCCTCCCAAAGTGCTGGGATTACAGGCATGAGCCACCACACCCAGCCTTGTATGGTATTTTATTATAGTAACCTGAATGGACTGAGACTCTAGTTAATATCGTTCCTTTTACCTGTTGTGTTTTGGTGTTTCCATCAGATGCCTAAAAATCCTAGCTTTCCTTTCTTCATCTCCACTTATCACCATCTAAGCCCCTATCACAAAAAACAATAAAAGAAACCCTCTCAAAACTGTCCATCTTACAACATCAACAGTTCTTTATTGGACTGGGCAAACTCAAAGAATTCCCCACTCAATTGGGAACCATGCAACCCCAGACTGAGCTTTCACTAGGAAACCATCAGGGCTACTTTGTGAGGGAATCCCTTCCCAAGAAGGAAGTAGAGGGATGTGTCCCTCATTCAGCTATCTAGCTGGGTGGGGCATAAATGCTTTCTCTAGGTCTAACATCAGGGGAGCAATTCTGGGGTAAAACAATTGTTCCTGGGGTGTTTTTGTTAAACTCTATCATCCATTGCTATGGGAAAATGGTAAATCATTTCATGTTTGAGAACTGAAATAATTCCATGTTTGAGAACTAAAAACTGTAAGCAGAACTAGCATTCCAACAGTATCTTTTATCTCTTCTCTTACATATTCATAGATGTGCTTAATTGATGGATCTTCCTTTGCGTCTATATTATAGAAGGATTGCTTGTTTTGTGCTTTTCTATAGACAAAAATGCTCTCTTAATAGTTGGTTCCTAGAAAATTAGACTCCTTTTACTAGAACTAAAGGCAAGTAGGGGTATCCTCTAATTCTAGTTTTGGAATGTGTGGTTTCCAAGCTCTTAAACCAAAATTTACTCAAAATTAGGAAGGTTTTGGTTCTTCTTCCTTTTTTAAATGTGGGCTTTATTACCCTTAGGGATTTCTTCTGTAGACTACAGCTCTTACCAGAGAACTCAGAGTATAATGTTTGTATTTCTGAAAGCACCATTTCTCTATTTTTCAAGAAACTCAGTTACCACTGAGATTTCAGGCAATGAACAATAGCATCAGCTATCATATAACCCCAGTATGTAGCTGATTATTGTGCTTCTCACACAGTGGCCTCCTCTTAAAATCTAAATGAGCAGCTTGTATACAAAGAAGTATGCTTTCCCCAACCTGATCTGGCCTAAATCTATCTACTTTGTTATATAAATGCTTTGTGTATTTTCTGTTTGTAAGCCAGCATTTATCTACGTACTTGACCTAAAACTCCACACTTTACTCCATGTAATATAGTGATATAAAAAGTGTAAAACAAAGAAATATTCTCCTAAATTACCTTAGCTATAATATCACTTTGACATAGTAAAAAACAAAGGAAGTAACATAAAGGAAAGCTTAGGTATCCAATTGCAGTGAGTTTTTACTTTTTAAATATATCGTATAAGCCAATAAAATATCTTCAAAATAATATTTACCCCAACATTTTTACAACATTTATTTTAATTTTATAAACAAATAACAAAGATAGTTTTAGTAGATTATATCTGGGCTGTAGTGACCCAATTATCTGGTCAAAGGGCTGCATGGATGCAAGAGACAGGGTGAGTTAAAGTTTAACTCCCAGGAATTGTAAACCAAACCTAAAGCCACTGAACCTTTGGAGTTTGATATGACGATTAGAGCATAACCCGAGTGACACGTTGAATTCGCCATAATCAAGGAAACCTTTTCCGGGTGGGGATCTCTGAAATTACTCAGGTATGATCCATGTGTTTTGCTTTTTTCTATTTCAACTCTGTGAAACTGTGTATTGTGGTATCAGTGGGAATGCAGTGAAAACAGCTTTTACCCTCTTCTGTTATCGAGCCTAATTCAAAGAATTATCTAGCTTGTTTTTAGACTAATGAAACAACCAGAAAACAAAAGAATATATTGGAATTATTATATAATCTCTAAATGAGATAGCTGCCAGGATTTAATAAATTTCTGTAGACTTACCACGGAGGGTTCAAGAGTGGAGCCAATGTTGTGAGAAGTTTATTTAGCTCTAACCAGACAGCAGGGAGAGTTGTGGTTGAGTGCCTGTCCCAATCCTAGGACCCTGAGAAACAAAAATATAATTAACAAAAGAAATAGTATTAACATCACCAGCAGATTTTGAGTTCTGTGTGTGGGTCATAATTCCTATCATACTTTAGACTTCATATATTCAATTATCTCCAGAGCTACTACCACCATAAAAAAGAAAGTCTTGGTACAACTCTTGCGATTCCGCCTGCCATTATCTTGCTAACCAAAGGAATGTTTAAACTATTCACTTTTGATTCTGACCAAAAAAATATTATGGAAAATGACTGGTTTTCAGTGTGTTAAATCTGAACCTTGGAATGGCTAATTATTATATTGTTTCCACAATTTGGGCAACTGTGCTGAGGTGGATATATTTTCACATATTTTTTTTGTGTACTCCAAAAACATTATAATGGTATTTTAGCTAAAGAAAGAAATCAATCTGGACATTTACCAAAAATATCCCATTTTTACCAGAAACCCCCTAAACTCTCTGACTTTTTGTCATGATTACCTATGTAAATTCCAAGAAGAAAGGATTCCAAACTAAACAATTTTATTTACTATAGGACTTTTCAGATATGTATTGTATATCTCCAAGAAGATGAAGAACACAGCATTATTTGCACATTGTGCAGGATTAGTGTTTTATAGATCGTATTTTGGCAAATTCAGCTCTAGTTATAGTTTAGGAGCATCAAAAAATGTGTTGGTCTGCTCTGAAATTTTCTTTATAACGTGTGCTATGGAGCATGCAATGGGAGCACAGGTCTGGAAATGACAGTGATATCACTTATTTGTCAAAGCAGTAAGGTTTTGCCCTGCTAAATACAGAGAAAGAGACAAATGACTTATAAGGTTCATACTTTCTGGAATAACATTGACTCTGCCCATTTCAGACAACTCTTAACATTTTACTGTTCTATTTTACTATTTATCGATTTCAAGGGAAAAAAGAAGACAGCTGGCAAGGAAAAGAAATATTGTTGTGGGCAAACATTATAAAATGACATAATGGATATTAAAACACTATAAATACTTTGTTCTTATTTTCTACTGCACTAATGCCAAGGTGGTTTTATGTCATTTCAAATATCAACATTTCCTACACTATATTCAGTGGATGTTAATAAATGTGGCTCAAAAGAAAAGCAACTCCATTGTCAAGTAAGTTGAGGAAACAGTGTTAGAAAAGTTATAGCAGGTTTTGTTACCACATGAGTGTTTTGAGTAATAATGATAACAAGCATCTGTGAAGCACTATATTATCGGGTCTACTTCTAAGTTCTCTCCATGCATTATCTCATGTTATTCTTGGAACAACTCTATGGTGTGATACTATTATAACAGTTTATAAATGGGAAAATGGAGGCACAGACAAATTACCTAACAGGCTCAGCTACTCAGTTAGCAAGTGGCAGAGCCAGGCTCCTTTGTCTGGTAGTCTGATCCAGAGCCCAAGCACGTAACCATTATATCATACGCTCGAGCACTGGGGACTCATGACACATGCAAATATTGTCATTTATCACAACTATCTAAGAGAGTAGGCAACGTTTTGTTTCCTGGGCTTAATTTACAACAGAACATCTTCTTTCAGGAACATCTATCAATATCTCTCAAAATTGGCATTTCTCAGAATACAGAACAAGAAAGACCAAATCGCTTTTATAGCCCATGTCCAGCATTCAGAACAATCAGAATCCATTGAAATAATCACAGTTGAAAAATCTAAAGGACTTTAGAGTCTAGTCTTCCACCAAATAGGACTATGCCTATCTGAGAAACTTTTAAAATTAATTACGGAAAGAACACTAGGCTTTGTGCCTCGACACAGCTAAGTGGAAACGCCTATTGTAAAACTCCCTAGGTTTGTGACCTTGGGCATATTGTTTGACTCCACTGAATCTCAGATTCCTCAAATGTGAAATGGGGGTAAGATCTGACCCATAGTATTTTGTGAAGTTTAAATTAGATGATAAAGCAAAGGAGAGAAATGTGGTCCCCGGTACTTAAGAATTCAGCAAAAACCCCACTTCCCTTTTCATTTTCCTATTTGTAACAACCTCCAGAAAAATTTTCTAAAATTGCCCAAGTATACCTATTAGGCCTTGTTTTTCAAAACAATACTAATAAAGTTGAAATCACAAACTGTACATAAAAAATTTTGATTAATCACAAATAGTAGCACTATTCCATTTATTCAGAGAAAGACAGTCTGTAAATTTTTTTAGTATTAAAGCACACACACAGAGTATATTTTTATTTTAGAGATTATTGCTGAAGAAAACTCTTAGTTATAAAACCCCAACACCTTTTCACCCAAACCCATGGGACACCCTGACACAGTGCATGCTCATTTCATCATGGAGGCAGTTGATGTTAAAAATCTGTTTCAGTAACTGTCTTTTAAAAATTGTCATCCCTTAGAAAGCTGAGTAGTACTGTGGGTACTATTGCACAATGGTTTTCATTACCTTATGTGTCTCTAAAATGACTCAATAAGTTCAAACAAGACAGTATTGATCGACAGAGGATAAACACCATTTTATCTTATTCACAGAAACAGTAACCAGGCTCCTGCAAAGTGCAGCTCTCACAATCCAACTGCCCCCAGGAAAAGCATCTGGAAAAGGAGCAGCACTCTTGCGGTGACATTCTGTATTAGAAATCTGTATCCCATCTGCTCCTTGGCCTGATCCTGTAAAATCTGGAGAGTTATTAACAAATGTTTGCTGCTGATTCAACCAGGAAAGCTAGTTCATCATTTCATTTCATCAAATCTACTCCAACTAGGTTATCAGTTTTTTGTTGTTGATGATGGTTTGTTTGTATGAGATGGAGTATCGTTCTGTTGCCTAGGCTGGAGTGGTGGTGCAATCTCAGCTCATCACAACCTCCACCTCCTGGATTCAAGTGATTCTTGTGCCTCAGCCTCCCGAGTAGCTGGGATTACAGGCACACGCCACCATGCCAGGCTAACTTTTGTATTTTTAGTAGAGACGGGGTTTCATTATGTTGGCTAGGCTGGTCTCGAACTCCTGAACTCATGATCTGCCTGCCTCAGCCTCCCAAAGTGCTGGGATTACAGGCATGAGCCAACATGCCCGGTCTAGGTTATCAGTTTTAATGACCACTTAGAATTTTTAATTTAATAAACTAAAATTTTGTATTGAATATTTTTGATTGATGCAATCCAAAAATTAAAACATGCCCTTTTGTAAAAAATCATCGTCCTGTATAAGATATGCTGGTATCTTGAGAGCTCTAATTTGATTTCTTTTAAACATATGTAAGCTAAGATTTTTATCCTATATAGATTTATATGTGGAGTTTTATGCATATATGTATTAACAATCACATGGAGAACATTTTCCAAGTTTGTTTATTCAATAGGAATTGGTCCCTGGTAATATTAAGAGAGAAATACTAATAAGGATGTAAGATAAATCCTTCTGATTTGCACAGTTAAGTGCAATGCTCTGCTCCAGATGTAATATGACTAAAGAGAATTAACACATGACAATTTAGGCAGACAGAATGTCTAAGTGAGCAGATTGGTTTATAATTCTATAAAATCCCACCTGCAGTAGTGATGTAGTGATGCCTTCCCTCCCTCCAGCAATTAAAAACTATTCATTGTTTTAGGATGCCCAATTGATTTAAAAATCACTAGGTTTAAGTAGTAGAACTAACTACAATATCTTATTTCCATAGGATATTCTAGTTTATAAAGCTTTTCATATACAAGAACTTATAAAGATTTTTAATGGCAAATTTCTTATAGTTGATGTCAATTCAGTATGCCTAGTTTCTTCAAGGTAACTGTGTCAATATTCACCATTCCAATTGTACAAATCTGATTAACTGAAAGATGCTCCCACCTATCGTTTATAAGCCCAACTCTGTTTATGTAACACAATGATGTCCAACTTCACTGGACATTAACTAATGTACCTATCAGTTAAGAGGCTAGATGAGGCCGGGCGCAGTGGCTCACGCCTGTAATTCGAACACTATGGGAGGCCAAGGCAGGCAGATCACCTGAGGTCAGGAGTTCAAGACCAGTCTGGCTAACATGACGAAACCCCACCTCCAGAAAAATACAAAAATTAGCCAGGCATGGTGGTGGGTACCTGTAATCCCAGCTACCCAGGAGGCTGAGGCGGGAAAATCACTTGAACCCAGGAGGCGAAGGTTGCAGTGAGCCGAGATCGCACCATTGCACTCCAGCCTAGGCGACAGAGTGAGACTCCACCTCAAAAAAAAAAAAAGAGTCTAAATGAAAACAGTGAAGAGAGGACATAAAGGTCCATGTGGAAGGTGAGAGAAGAACCACCCCCATATGGGACCTAGAAGAAAACAGCCCTAAAAAGATGTAATTATAACTCAGTCCAGATGCTGTGACTAACACAGTGAAAGATATAAAGGAACAGAGGTTTATAAAATCTCCTACCTGCCTGGCAGGGGACTGGCAAAACATTGTGCACAAATGAAATTTTTTATTTCTATTGATTTTAGTATTCTATCCAGCTCTTCTACTGGGATTCTGCTTAGTGCTTATCTTTCCATCTGGGGCCTTCAGCATGAACTAAAATGTACTTTAAATTATTAGATGTAATTAAACTCTAATGCCTCTGATTATTTGAAATGGAAGTCAGAAATCAAAATCAGGTTCCATGGGGGGAAAACTGTGTTGGCACATATAGATGTTCATCTCAGGAATCCTCTTTCTAACCTTCTTTTCCGAAGATCCCTAAGAGTTCCTCGCCATTCATGTACTTACTACCAACTAATTATAATTGGCACCCTACGATGATGATAACAATGATGTTAATAAAATCTCTTACATCCTCTTACATCCTGCCACATGCCAGGCACATAGGTTAACTCATTTAATCCTCCATCACTCTATGGAATGGGTACTATTGCTACGCCATTTTTCCAATAAAGCAGCTACAGCTTAGGGACACAGAGAAATTTGCCCCAGGTCACACCACTAATAAGTGGTGCAGGAGTGAGTCCGGGCAGTCTGGCACAGGCCACCCTGTGAACAAAGGACAAATGGAACACTGGGAAGCATCAAGGCTTAGAACTGAAGAAAACTTTTGAGATCCTTTATTTGACAGAGAAAAGCAAGTTGGGTTCCCCAGCTTGGGTTTTTGTTAGAATGAGAACCCAAGAGCAGAACCTGAACCCTCTGTGGATACTT
Source organism: Homo sapiens (assembly GCF_000001405.40). Taxonomy (NCBI): domain Eukaryota; kingdom Metazoa; phylum Chordata; class Mammalia; order Primates; family Hominidae; genus Homo; species Homo sapiens. The sequence continues at coordinate 50,880,056 of NC_000010.11, read as the reverse complement.
TTCCATTATACCACTTCCCACTGTAAAGCATTTCTAATTCAGCCTGATTCTCTGTGAAAATTCTGAGAGACGAATTAATAGAATCCCTATAGTTAAACAGGAATACTCCCTTCACTCCAAGTCTCACCTTCCTTGCTGTGCCCAGACTCATGGACTGACCTAGCCAGAGACTCAGTTAAAGGAGACCCATTTTGTGACTTGGAGAGACTGACAGGCCCACATCACAGAGGAAATACATGCAGACACAGACATGGATATGGTTTAGCTTTTTGTCCCCACCCAAATCTCATCTTGAATTGTAATCCTTAGGCCTGAAGGAAAGAATCTGGTGAGAAGTGATAGGATTATGGGGGTGGTTTCCCCCATGCTGTTTTCATGATAATGAGTGAATTCTCATGAGACCTGGTGGTTTTATAAGTGTTTGACTTTTCCTTCTGTACACACTACTTCTCTCCCCTGCTGTCACATAAGAAGGCCTAAGCTTGCTTCCCCTTTGCCTTCCACCATGATTGTGAGTTTCCTGAGGCCTCCCCAGCCATGCAGAACTGTGAGTCAATTAAACCTCTTTCTTTATAAATTACCCAGTCTCAGGTATTTCTTTGTAGCAGTATGAGAACAGACTAATACAGGCACCATGAACATAGTGACAGGATAAACCATGGAGGCATTGATAAAAATAAAAAGTAATTGTGATGAATGACTTGGTTGCAATTACACTCAAATTCTGTTAGTGTCTGAAGAGGACATAGCACCTCCTACCTGGAGGACATACCCTTTTCCCCATGGAAAAAATAATTGGGCTGCTAGGTCTGTGTCTGCTAAGGGAGTCCCATATTTAAACTGACCTAATTCAGAACTTTAAATTGAGACTCAGATGCTCCCAAATAGCAGCTCCACCAACCTGAATAGAGTTACTCATTTAGAATAAGAGTTTGTTCCCACAAGTTTTGTTAAAATACAAATTAGTTGGGATGCGGGGTGTGAGTGATAGGGACTAAAATCGCTTAACAGACTAGCCTGGCAAAGCCCTGTGGGAAGCAAGTTTTGATGATAGGGAAGAGAAGATGTCAAGAGCAGATGGTCCAGGGAGGAAGTGTCACAAGTAACTTGGGGGTGATATAAGGGACTTGAGTAGCAGGTATTTGTCTGATCTTTAAGGAATTAACTTATTAAAGAATTTTGTTAGTAAAGTCATTTGAGTATCACACTTGCAACATACTAATTCATCCATGTCTAGTTTTCTCATTAAATCACAGATATTTAACAGGTGCATTAACTTGAATTGACATCATGCAGCAAATGCCATTATATGGACCCTTAAGATATTTTAAGAGAAAAACCTATAATGCCTGGAAACTCTTAGTTTTCTCTGACATTTAAAAACAAGCCGTAAAATCAAATCCTTTCTATAATAATTTAGTAACTCAGAATTGCAAAGGATTTCCTAAAGCCCAATGATCCAAAGCTCTGACCTGTGATGTTGGCATAGCAGAGTGGGAGACAAATCATATGTTAAAGCAGAAGGCTCTGGATCTGGAATGCTTGGATACAAATTCTGGCTCTACCACTTGCTACAATTTAACTCTAGGCAAATTACTGAACTCTGTGACTATTTCCTCTTCTGTAAAGTCAGGGTTGTTTCAATAATTAGATCAGAAATTGTAAAGTGCTTAGAATAATACCAAGCAAGTGTGCATAAACTTTAGCCATTTAGCTATAACTCTCATCATATTTCTGTGTTGATTACAAAATGCTTTACTAGAGGAAAATAGATGAGAAAGAGGCCATGAGGTAAAAATGTACAGTGCTTTTTAAAGTAGAATGAGGTGGCTTAGAAATTAATTCTATCCCCATCACTGGCTTGTAGTAGAAATTTGAAACAGTCTCTCCCTGATTCTCTGGCAGTTTTTCTCTTTTTTTCTTTTTTTTCTTTTTGAGATGGAGTCTCACTCTGTCACCCAGGCTGGAGTGTAGTAGCGTGATCTCAGCTCACTGCAACCTCCGCTTCCCGGGTTCAAGCGATTCTCCTGCCTCAGCCTCCTGAGTAGCTGGGACTACAAGCATGTGCCACCACAACTGGCTAATTTTTTGTATTTTTGGTAGAGACAGGGTTTCACCTTGTTAGCCAGGATGGTCTCGATCTCCTGACCTCGTGATCCTCCTGCCTCAGCCTCCCAAAGTGGGGGGATTACAGGCGTGAGCCACGGCGCCCGGCCCTCTTTCAGTTTTTTCTAAGACAGAGACACTCCCTATCACAGACAGGGTCTTCTAAATTAGTAGAGAATGATTTGAAGGAAACTGGGTAATTATCAGAGGAAGTAAAAGAGAAATACAGATCCTCACACCAGAATGCAAATCTCTAAGACTTTATTATTTTCATCACTATGAAAGAAAAGATCAGTACTCAAAGCCACTTATGATGATGCATGTAAATTAGCATAAAATCAGAACAAATATAATATGGCTTTTAAAATAGAAACATAAGGCTATCTTTCCTTACAAGTGTCAGATTGCTTCTGTGCCACTGTAACACAGAGCTTTAGATGGATTTTTTAAAGCTTCACTCAGAGATCAAATGTACTCCATTAGTCAGTGATTGGCAGACTTGGTGAAAATTGAGTTTTCAACTTAAATTTCTCCAAATTGGTCTGAGGAAACCAGATGCAGCAACTAAGTTCAGAAGGTCAGAGTCTCAATAAGGTTAAAAAGAGAGGGAGAAACATAACACTAGAAGTATGAATGAATGAAATAGACCACACACAGCTCATCAGGTCTCTATAATATACCACGCAAATAATTGGTACCAGGACTATTGAATAATCAACTGCTTTTAAGCTGAAGAATATCTACATTGTATACCATGATTACCACTTTACCAATTCAAAAGACAACTTAAAAATTAAACATATATACAAAGACATTCTGCTTTTTTCATTAGGCCATGTCATTCTATAATTTCTAAATTCTGTCAACTCTCTTCCCCAGGAATCTTCTAGAAGTCAGGCATTTTGGGAATAGTTGAGTATCATAATTGAATAAAGATAGCACAACAGTCACCTGTAGTAGTCTGATCTTACAGGTACTAGAACAATAACAGCACAAAAACAGAGTTACGTGTATGTATTATTCAGTGTTCTCTAGAAGAAAACATAGTATATGTATATATAGGCAATACATTTATAAATGCATAAAACAAATATAAATTTGTGTAAGTATGCATATAAATATGTAAGTCTACACATATAAATACAAATAAAGAGATTTATTCTATGGGATTGGCTCATGCAATTATAGAAGCAGGAGTCCCAAGATTTGCAGTAAGCAAGCTGGAGATTCAGGGGAGCCCATGCATAGTTCCAGCCCAAGTCCAAAGGCTTGAGACCCAGAAAAGCAATAGTGTAAGTTCCAGTCCAGAAGCCATCAGGTTAGAGACGCAAGAAGAGCCAATATTTCAAGTCCGAAGATCAGGAAAGGCCAATGTCCCTGCTCTGTCATGCAGGCCCAGCTCCCTCTTACTCAGCTTTTATGTTTTATTCAGGTTTTCAATTGATTGGATGAGGCCCACTCACATTGCATCTGCTGTTAAAATTTTCCAAGATCTTTTTGGGGTTAAAAACCTATCATTCATCTCTCAATCTTCAGTGTTGACAAGGACAGAGCACTTATGAGTATTCCTGTTTCTGAGTTTCTGATAAGCTTGTCCAAGTGGAGCACAGGCTGGACAATTTATAAGACAGTATTGAAGTCAGAGCAATTACAAAAGGAAAGGGGTAGGTTTCTTGTGTGATGTGCTGCAAACACTGACCTCTCAGAATTTATTCGGCCCTGTGTGTATATACGTATTCATGTCTGCACATATGTGCTAGTTCACTTATACATCTATACATACACACAATCACATATACCCAAGATCTGATGGAATAGACATGAATTTGGCTTAGCCAGGGAAATTATAGAAAGAATAATGGGAATCCTAGGCATGTGGGAAATGGGAAACAAGGACAAAGGCGCCTAGGTAAAATAAAAAGCAACTGGTGTGCCTAGGAGACCTGATGGACTTGAGCATGGAATAGCTCCAGACTTGTATTGAAAGAAAATCAGGAAAGTCAAGTTACGACCAGGTCATGGCAGGCACTGAATGTCAGGTTAAGGGGCTGAACTGTTTCTTTCTAGTTAGTGATGGGTCCAGTGAAGGATTTGGGGCAGGAGAATACTAGAAGGAATATTTTAGGGAGATTGATCTTCCAGTGGTGTGCAGAACAGATATGCCATGCCTAGAGGGTAGTAAGCAGTGACATTTCTTTCACTCTACACTTTAGCTGAGCTCAGGGTAAGTCCAGTAATGGAAGATGGGGTGGGAAATAGAGCTAGGAGTGTAGAGAGGGCAACAGGTAAGGATACATATGTACCAAAAGCAGAAAACAAGTTAAGATCCAGGCTTCATGAGGTGCCTATATTGAAGATTGCTCTGGATAAAGAGACTGTTAGGACTTCAGAGTTAGAATTCATAGCAATTCACAGAACTGCTCAGGCTCTTCATTATTCACCTGACTCAACTCTCCTACATCTGCTCCTTTCTCCTAAGAGATTTCCTTGCTCTCTGTCCTTTCTCTACCCCACAGCTTTTGCTTCCTTTCCGTACATAGAACCACACAACAAGTACTAGTTTTATGCATGCAGTGGTCATATAAATATCTTATTGGCGAGTCCTCATCAAAACTGAGTTGAAACAAACCATTTGAGCCAGAATTTAGTAAGAGTCAGATTTTTTAAGGTACTTCAAGGATTTTATTTATAAATACAACTAGGAAAACATTTACTCATTAGAAATGATGAAACCATAGACAAAACAATTATTAGAGAAAATTTTGAATTATTCTTTTCTCCTGCTGTCTAATTTCTACCTTTCTCATGTAGTCTTTTTCTTTTTAATTAGATTTTTTATGTGAGTATATGGTCCATGTATTTGGCTGGTGGAATAAATTCAATTATTCTCAATTGTTTTGTTTGACCTGTCACGTGTGTAAATTAGAGCTTCAGTCAGCTGTTCTAGATGCAACTGCATATTGTTATCACCTGAGAAGCTTTAAAATCTGTCATTTCCTGGGCCCCATTCCAAACCAGCTGAATCAGAATCCTTCCGGGAGGGTAAGATGATGCCTAAGCACAGGTGATTCTACCATGAGTCCAGGCAGGGAGTCTGGTTTTTGTGCACAGCTTCTGTATGTCATGGCTATTGGCACCTGGCTCTGCTACGGCGGTTCTTAAGTGATCTTTTAATGCCGATTGGGAGTATGTTTTAATAGTGGCACAATATTTTAAGAATAAGGCTTTAAAGGAAGTTATTGCAAGTAACAGTTAAGGGATTTACTCAAACTGGACACAACCTCTGTTGGAGCAGATTACAGTGAAGTTTTGGGGGCATGGGATAAAAAAGAGGAAGGAGAGATTTAATGGAGCGAATATTATTTGCTAAAATTTAAGAACGTTTGCAGTTAAATCTCGTACTATTGCAACAAGATGTGCACAGGTGCATAGGTGAATGCTTCCTCTTCTGGTATTTCCTTGTGTCATTTATAGTTCAAGTTAAATCCTAGGGATTTAAAGTGCTTCTCATTGATATTTAAAGGGCATTTTTAACAAATGGAGAAATGTCTTTCGAAACAGATAAAATGTACCTTTATAAAATCCACTTTATGAGAATATGCTAAAAAGGAAGATGTGTTTCTATTGGATCATAAATTATACAATTTTAAACAGATTTTTATATGAAAGTAAATTGTTCCAACTATTTGAAATTACTTTTTCCTCAAACAAAACAAAAAAGATTTCTAGATGCCAGGATTGTTTTGCAAAAATGATGATCTGATGATCTGTGGGCCAGATGAATATGCTTAACTTTCCTAAGAGTTAAGGTAACATTTTTCCTTTAATGAGCCTGTATCTGATTTCTGATTTGATGTAGTTTTTTAAAAATTGAGAAAATATGCCTCCTCTACCCCTTGCATGTTTTAATGCCCTGATTTAATGCCGGTGTGTGTACATATGTGCATATACACAGATATATACATATATACACAAACACATATTAAAATTATAATAAAATAATCATTTGTTCATTTTATACCTGCTTGTTCTTTTTCTCTGATAAACTCTAAGACAGTGGTTCCTATGGTATTTTTTCTCTGATATAGTTTTTCTTTTCTCTATAGATATTTTCATTACAGTGCAATTTTTCCAGTGTCTTAGGTTTTGCTATTTTAATTTACTCTACTTAGGACTTAGAATGATTCCATATAGGATGGTATATAGATTTTAAACTTCAACAAACAGTAATCAAACATCAGCTAGCCCTACGCATCCTTGCAAAAATAACAATTTATTTAGAAAGTTGTATCAGCATTACTCCTCTACAACATTTAATATCTTGCCTTAAAAGTTCAATATACATGTCAGATGGATTCAGAAACTTCTTTAGCCATGGGTGTCACCAAAAGAGCAGGAAAGGGAACAAAAAATTAAAGAATAAAACAGAAAAAGAGAAAAAGGAAAAATGAATTATATGGTCATTTGAGGATGGAGAGTGAGAAGACCTTACTCATTCCCTGTGTGTAGCTGTGTGTAACACAACTACACATAGTTGTGTTAGCTGTCTTGAGAAGCACTTGGGGCTTTGATTACCTCCATTGCAACCTCATGAGATATTTGGTCTATAGATAATTTCTTCTTCTCTTGCTATCTACAATCCAGAAGAACTAAAGATCAGTGGAAAGAAGAATCAACACTTTAAAGAATTTAAATGGCTGGGCGAGGTGGCTCACACCTATAATCCCAGCATTTTGGGAGGCCAAGGTGAGTGAATCACTGGAGGTCAGGAGTTCGAGACCAGCCTGGCCAAAATGGCAAAACCCTGTCTCTACTAAAAATACAAAAATTAGCCAGGCATAGTGGCACACATCTGTAATCCCAGCTACTTGGGAGGCTGAGGCAGGAGAATTTCTTGAACCCAGGAGGAGAAAGTTGCAGTGAGCTGAGATCACCCCACCACACTCCAGCCTGGGTGATAGAGCGAGATTCTGTCTCAAAAAAAAAAAAAAAAAAAAAAAAAAAGGAACTTAAATATAAGAATAAAAGTAAGCATGAAAGCTGAGCCAGATCTTGCCAAATGATACATCATTTGGTAAACCATGAAGGCGCCACACTTGCCAAGGAGTAACATTTCAATGAGATATGACTCTGCATAGCAGACAGCTGGGTCCATTTGGACCATATCCACAGGGGATCAATCCTTGATGTGTCCGAGTGAAGCATCAGACAATCCACCCACACCACTCCTCGAAGGAGCTATTACAATAGCTCACTTTCATTCCGGCAAAGAGGCTAAGTTACCATAGTGCTTCAGATGCTCCAGACCATGTGTCCCTATGGAAGAGAATGGGGACCACAGCATCCCCCTCATTGGTTCATTATGGTGTCCTGTGTTCTTCACAGCAACACTTTAAGGCAGGCAGGGTAGATATAATTTCCACACCCCCTGCCTATTTTTTTTTAAGATGAGGAAACTGGAAAGAAGTAAAATTAGTAATTAGGAACACAATCTCAGCCTCCAGGCTACCTAAATTCAAATCATCTGTCTGCCACTCATTACCAGTGTAACCTTGGGCACTTTAGCCTCTCTCTACCTTGATTTATTACCCATATCATAGGAATAATAATAGCTACATCACTGAGCTTTTATGAGGATTAAATGAATTATGTTTAAAATTTTCAGAACATAGCATATGTGTTCAGTAAATGTTAGCTATGTTTATTATCCTTATTTAAAATATTTTTACATATTGCCACATAATAGGCAAAAAAATGTTATCTTGGTTTTTTGTTTTAATTTGCCTTTTCCTGATCACTAAAGATTACCATTTTTAAATCATGTTTATAAGCTATTTTGATTTCTTTAAATTGACAGTTCATTTCCTTTGCTCATTTGTCCACTGATATGTGTCTATTATTTAAAAGTAATCTGTATATTACAGATAATATTTCTCTATCTATTATATAAATAACAATTATTCTCTTCCTGTCTGTAGACTCTTTTTAACTTCATTTATTTTGCCATTACAGAAGTTTGTAATATTTTTGTAGTCAAATCTGCTAGTCTTTTCATTTATGGTTCTTAATATGCTTGGTTTAGAAGACCTTCTGTACCATGAGATTATAAAAACACTCTACTATATTTACTTCTGGAAGTTACACAATGTTTTTAAAGGTTATTTCTTTATTCCATTTAGAATGCTGGCATGTTATGAGGTGATATGCCCACTTTATTTTTTTTCTCAAATTGTTTATGATCCCCCTATGAATTTGAAATAGCACCTATTGGTGAATTCCAGTATAAACAAAACTATGGGTCCAGAGTTTTTATTTTACTCCATTAATCTGGTTCTCTATTTCTATGCTTGTTTTAATCTAAACTGTTAATTAGGGCTGTTCCAAATCATTATACACTTTCAATATATGTTGTGGCATTTATTGCACATTGTTCCTGCCCGGTGAACTATGAAATCAATTTGTCAAATTTCAGAATAATTTCATTGGACTTTAAATTAGAATTGCATTAAAGTAATAATTTGGGAAAAACTGATATTTTTACATCAGCAAAACTTCCATTTACTAAGGCCTTTAGATCTTTCAGTCAAATTTTATCATTTTTTTATATAGGTTTTAAACTTTTCTCGTTAAGTTTATTCAACTTTTATGTTTTTATTCTATTGTTTAGACCTTATTATACTTCACTTGTTATTTCTATTAAATACAGAACATTTATTTTATAATTTTCCTTGTAGTAATCTTTCATTAGTTTCAATCATATTATATAGTTGATTTACTTGTTTTTAATGAGAATAAATGATTGTGGTGTTTCATTACTAAGTATAATGTTTGTTTCATGTTTCTGAGAGATGCTCTTTATCAATTTAAGGATGTTTTGTTCTATTGTTCACTTATGAAGATTTTTTTTAAACCAATACTGGGTATTAACTTTCATTAAGTGCCATTTTTAGATTTACTGTGATGATCACGTGTTTTCTTTTTAACAGTGAAATGAATTAAACTTCGATAATCCCTAATGTTTAATAAACTTTATATTTTTGTAGTGATCCCATCTTGTTCATTGTATATTATTATTTTGGATGCTTTTTCATATGTAGTTCATATCTATACTCCTATGATACTGGTCTAGTGTTCTACTTTGTAGTATATTTTTCTCTATCAGATATGATGAGTTTGTAGATAATTTCAGAAGTTTTCTATTATTTTCTACTCTTCAAAAGGCTTTACATGGCAAAGGAATAATTTGCTTTTAAAGAGATTTATAAAACTTGCCTAATAAAACCATCTGGATCTGGTGTTATTTGGGAGGAAAACATTGAATGTTTTCAATATAGATTATGATTACTAGTTTATTCAAATTTTTAACTTATCCTTGAGATTAAAAATTCACACTTTTCTAAGGTTTTGTCCACTACATGTATATTTTTCAAATTATTGGTAAAAGTATTCTCTTTTTTAAAAGTCTATGAATCTTTGGTTATATCCAATTTTTCTCTTGTTTTGAAAATTTATTTTCTCCTTTTTACCTTGTCAGGATTGCCAGCTGAATGCTAATTTACTACTACACTCAGCTGTTACATACATTTATCAAGTCTACAAATTTGTTTTATTAATTCTACTTTTATCTTTGATTCCTTCCAATTTCTTTTTGTCCATTTCATTCTTTTCCTAGCTTCTTTAGTTGAATGCTTATTTTCAGTGTTTATTGTCTTGTAATTAATAATAAACAGACTATCGTTTACAAAAATCTAGTGTACATTTCAAAATAGCTAGAGAAAATGATTTTAATGTTTTTAGCATAAAGAAGAGACAAATGTTTAAAGTGATAGATATCCCAATTATACTTCTTTAAGCTTTACAAATTATATAAATGGATTAAATTATCACATGTACCCTCAAAATATGTTAAATCTATTATGTATTAATTAAAAAAGAAAAACAAGAATAGAAACTTGACCACATCTTCATGAAAAGTATGATATTTTCATTAACATCCATTTATTAACATAATTTTAACTTTTATATTTTATATTATGAGCAAGAGCTATATATCATAGGAAGCTAAAAATAGTCAAATAAGCAAGAATGAAGAAAACAAAAATAATTTGTTAATCCACTCACCCAGAGATAACAAATTAGCCTTGTGTAATCAAAGCATATTTGAATATAAAAATTAATACAAATGAAATCAGACCATACATTCTGTTTTGTAACCTGCCTTTTCTACTTTATTATATTTCACAAGTATCTGTCTAAATTATTATATATTCTTCTAGAACATTGATTTGATTAGCTGTACTGTATCACTGCTTATTCAAATATTTCTTTATCATTAGATATTTCAGTTGTGCCTACCTTTCATAACAATACTAATATATTCTATGAGAGGTGACAAACATGAACAGTCTTAGGACCTTAACAACTTTTCTACTAGGTAGCAAAAACAAAGATAAATGAAATAACTGGATCCATTAGTAAGGCAATATAAAAGAGCTCAAGATAATGCATTCGAAATTGAATTTTTCTCTGCATTGGAGAAACAGGAGGAGAATAACCAATGAGAAAATCACAGGTCATGGCTAAGATGAGTTAAACAAAGCAGCAAATAAAGAATAAGAATAGAATATTTCTACAGCACCTTCTATATGCCAGGTACTATGTTAGGCGCTCTCACATTCATTACCTTATTTATTCCATGCTTAAAAGAACCTTCAAGTTAGGTATCAGTATTCTTATCCTTTTTTAGACTAGAAAACTAGACCTCAGAAAAGTTAAAATCATGGTGGCAGAACTAAATTTTTTTTAACTTTTTTTTTTAAGTTCAGGGATACAAGTGCAGATTTATTACACAGGTGAACTTGTGTCATGGGGGTTTGTTGTGCAGATTATTTCATCACCCAGGTGTTAAGCCTAGTACCCACTAGTTATTTTTCCTGTTCCTCTCCTTCCTCCCACCCTGCATCCTCTGAAAGGTGCCAGTGTGTGTTGTCCCCCTCTATGTGTCCATGTGTTCCCATCATTTAGCTCCCACTTATATGTGAGAACATATGGTATTTGGTTTTCTGTTATCCTCCTCTGCAGCAGGTTCCACAATTTTAAAGATGCTTACATTTACATTTCAGTTCTGTCCCTGTGTAAGTTTGCTACAGTTAATTCAAGAACAGAACTGAAATTTCAGTGTAAGCTTGTTCTTCTTTAAAAATGTGGAAACCTACTACAGAGGAAAATTTTTGTCAATACTTACAAGTAAAATTAACATGTCCACTATGAACAACTTTTACATTTCTTTTCTTTCTTTAATTTAAGCCTTGTCTTGGCTTAAATTGACAAGTTCCAAATTAATATATGATTTTTTGCTAATGCCTGAAAAACATAGAGGAGGTTCTGGTTAGTTTTTTTTCTAGTATTGTTTTAAAAAACTAAGATGTTGCACATTGGGACTTTTTGTGATGTCTTCATGGCTATATTTTGAAATTTTATGTATACATATTCTCTATTAATTTTGCTATGGCTCATGATCCATGACCAAAGTGCATGCTACCACAAGAATTAATTTCCAAAATAGACTTAAGATCAATTGTAAATATTTTTCCAAGGTGGATATTAGAGCTTTGTATCAAGCAATGCAAAGCAATATTTACTTAGCATCATCAGGCAAATATATAGACTTCAGTCATAAATCCTTCACCAACCATTTCAGTACTATCTAGAATTTCTTTCACGTAAAATTCCCAGGAGATACTCAAGGGCTGAAATTCGTGCTAAAACCACTTGTACAACTTGCATGTTACATAAAAGTTATGTCCAGCCTACATCATGTAATGTCAAGGCACAACTAAACATTGAGGAAAGACTAGGTTCAGTTTGGAGAGGTCCCAGAGGCAAGTGAAGCCATCATGGATTTGAAATGCACGTGGAGCACCTCACTGTACGGGCCCCAGTGGCTTCTCATTCAATTATGAAAGAACACTTCTCTGCTTACCAAGTCAGAAATAGTCTTTGTCCCCATTCAGTTTCCTTATCCAATTTCTTCCGAAAAATCAAATCAAGATAGTAAACATACTATTAACAGAATGCCTTCATTTCCTAACTCTAAATTGTCTACCACGTTGCAGATATTAAATTAATATTTGCTGATCCTTTTGTTAAAGTCGAGGATAATTACTTTAATTTTTAACCAAGAAATCTTCTAACTTTAATTCTGTCTTTATCTTTTGTCTCCTTTCTGTTCCTCTCTGCCTGTCATTCACAATGACCATTTCTTTTGTTTGTATAAACTTATAGGGTGCAAGTGTAATTTTGTTATATGCCTAGATTGCAGAGTGGTCAAGACTTTTAGGGTATCCATCATCCAAATAATGTACATTGTAACCATTAAGGAATCCCTCATCATCCACCACCTTTTCACTTCATTACCCTTCCAAATCTCCATTGTCTATCATTTCACTCTCTACCTCCATGTGTACACATTATGTAGCTCCCATTTATGAATGAGAACAGATTTGTTTTTCTGTGTCTGACTTGTTTCACTTAAGAAAATAGCCTCCAGTTCCAACCAGGTTGCTGCAAAATATAAAATAAAATAAAAGAATTTCATTCTTTTTCATGGCTGAATAAAATTCTACTATACATATATAATATTATATAAAATTTTCTTTATCCAATTGTTGATGGATACTTAGGTTGATTCCATATCTTTGCCATTATGAATATTGCTGCTATAAACATATGAGTGCAGGTATGTTTTTGATATATTGATTTCTTTTCCTTTGGATAGATACCCAGTAGTGCCCAACTACGATTTCTAGTTCTGTTTTTGCCAAGCTATGCTTTCATGACTCGTTAAATGTGTTTTTCTAGTATGTACTCCTCTTACCTTTGTCTTGTATCTTCCCCAATTTACCATTTGAAAGACATTAAGAAAAAAAAAAAAACAGGCCAGGCATGTTGGATCACGCCTGTAATCCCAGCAGTCTAGGAGGCCGAGATGGGAAGACTGCTTGAGCCCAGGAGTTCGAGACCAACCTGGGCAACATAGCTAGCCCCATCTCTATTTTCTTTTAAAAACTTATATACATATATTACTCATTTTCCCTCTTTGTCTGTTTCCCTAGCTGCCAACTTATGGTCTGCTAGGGCAGTAAGACCTTCTACCATTCTCATAACTTCAGGCAAATCTAGATAACAAATCTCACTTAAAATCCTCGCTTAGTTTTCTTTCCATGACTTGGTTCTTCATGTGGGATCAGCTTTTAGGTACAAGATAAATGTGTTTCCTCTTTCTAGCTCAGGGTTATAATCAAAGAGCAGGACATACTATCCAGCTAACAGGTCTAGATTTAGAAAAGTCAGAATGTACTACACTGCCTGTGTCTCTCTTCCAACTTCCTTCTCATCTGTTTCCCTGCCAACTTCCCTGAAACTGGACCCACTGGCACCTGAGGCCAACAGGGTCGGGAACTGCAGCTCTAACTTTGCCCAATAGTGAACTATGGCAATTTCCATTGAGCAGCTGCAGCCAAGTGACGAGGTGAGCTATTCATTCCAATCCCTCTCTGCCTCTCAAGAAGGCAGAAGTCTTGAACCCCCAAGAATTTCTAGATCTTTGTTTTCTTGGTCAAATAGGCACTGATGTTGCAAATATAAAACCAGAAAGAGATAGAAAAGTGTATACAAATATCAACTTTATATTTTAATCACTCTGCACTCTGAATTTTTTTACTTTTCTTGTCTCTCTCACAAGTATGATGACATATTCATAAATGCAGAGAAACAACAAAAATCAATTTCTTATATAAAACAAATTCATTCCAGGATGGAAATTTCAGGAAGGAACTGGAAAAAGAGAAATAATAAGTATTAGGACTTTCAATTCAGATTAAATTTAATTCTGATTGACTGCAAGTCTCTGTAATTTATAAAATTGCTGATCCAAAGTTTTGCATTTCTTCTAAAAGTATCAATTAAGCACTTAGCATAATGTCAAGCTGAGCCTTCTGGGCAAACAAAGATGAGGTACAAGATAGTCCCTGTGCTCAGAAAGCTCACAGTTTAGTGAAAAAGTTAGACATGTAAGCCAATAAATACAGTCATGTGCGAAACAATACAAGGATGTACAGGTTTTTTTGAGAGGACTGAGGAGCTGACACTTGAAGGTTACCTACAGAGGTTGTCAAAGAAAGAAAGCATCACAGAGCAAAGAAGATGTTAATCAAGTCTAGAAGGATCAGTAAGGCCAATGTGGCAAAGTTAGGAGGCATGGGAAGGAAAAGAGATTCCAAGCAGAGAAACTGGAAGTGTAAGAAAGCATGGGAAGGCCAAGTGGCAGGGCATGTGAATGACACTGGAAGGGGAGTCTAGGGTCTAGTCCTGAAGGGACAATGTGTCATGCTAAGAACCTGGGACTTTATCCTTCACACAGTTGGTTTTGAAATTCTGCCTCTTGGAGTTAGAGATTGATAATTATAATAATTAAAATGATATAATAGCTAATATTTATTGGATGGTTATTAAATTCCAGAAACCATTTTAAGTATTTTAAAGGCATATTCATTATTTAGCTCCCAATATTAATATTGAATCCTCAAAGAACCCTATGATGGAATTATCATCATCCTAATTGTATTTATTTTAGTAGTAGTAGTAGTAGTAGTAATAGCAGCAGCAGCAGCAGTAGTAGTAGGAGTACCTTTGAGACAGGGTCTCATTCTGTCACCCAGGCTGGAGTGCAGTGGCCTAATCGCAGCTCACTGTAAGCTCAACCTCCCAGGCTCAGGTGATCCACCTCCCAGGTAGCATGACTACAGATGCATGACACTACACCTGGCTAAATTTTTGTATTTTTTGTTGAAATGAGCTTTTGCCATGTTACCCAGGCTGGTCTGGAACTCCTGGGCCTCCCAAATTGCTGGAATTACAGGGATGAGCCACTGCACCCGGCCCCATCGTAATTTTATATGTAAAGAAACAGGCTCAGATAGCTTCCTCTAGGGTGAAAGTGGAAGAAGAAAAGAGGAGACCTGCCGGGAGGATTGGCCAGGCACGGTGGCTCACTCCTGTAATCCCAGCACTTTCGGAGGCCAAGGCTGGCGGATCACCTGAGGCCAGGAGGTCGAGACCAGCCTGACCAACATGGAGAAACCCTATCTCTACTAAAAATACAAAATTAGCCAGGCGTAGTGGTGCCTGCCTGTAATCCCAGCTTCTCGGGAGGCTGAGGCAGGAGAATCGCTTGAACCTGGGATGCGGAGGTTGCGGTGAGCTGAGATCATGCCATTGCACTCCAGCCTGGGCAACAAGAGCAAAACTCCATCTCAAAAAAAAAGTAAAGAAAAGAGGGGACCATTTTTACATAGCAGGTTTGGTGGTGAGGATACATTTAAACCAAGTGTTCCATTGCTAATAAAAACACAGTGTCTGAGAGGACAAGAAGACTCTGATCGCCAGTTAATGGAAGCTGTAAGAACTAGAGGAAGCCCTGGCTTTCAATACTTTGTGTCCTTTGCTCATCCCATTGTTAGAAGGGATATAAAGGAGAAGGGAAGGGAAAGGGGAGGAAATTATACAAGGAGGAGTTGACATTTCATCAGGCCCTTTCTGGAGTCCTTTTGCTGTTCCTCTACTCTGCTTCTCTCCTCCAATATGAGATATTAGCAAACCTAGGGCAATGCTTCACAGGTGTTTTCTCATTTCATCTTCACAACAATATGTTGCACAGCCTGCTCATCACCCCAATTCACAAATGAGGAAATTGATGCTTAGAGACAGTATGTGAATATATGATTCTTTCCTGTAATACTAACCGTAGCCTTCCCCTCCATCCAATCTCCATCTTTTTTGACCCTTTCTGCTCTCACCCATCCTCAACTAGATAACAGTGCTGTGCCAAAAACCTGTGGATTTTCTCTACAAAAATTATGTAAGTATACTATATTTTACTTACTGTGTATTGGCATATATTAGTTGTACATATTCTGAGGGTATATGTGATATTGTGATACCTCTATACAATGTGTAATGATCAAATCAGAGTAATTGGAATATCACATCAAACATTTATTTTCTCTTTATGTTTGGAACATTATAAATCTTCTAGTTATTTTAAAATATATAATTATTGTTAACTATAATTTCCCTACTATACTATCAAATAGTAGAACTTCTGTCTCACTGTATTTTGTACCCCTTAACCAACTTCTATTCATCTCCTTCTCCCCACTACCTTTCTCAGCCTCTAGTAACCACCTTTCTACTTTTAACCTCCATGAGATCCACTTTTTGTATTCTACTTATTGATCTTATTTATTACCTCTCTCATCCCCTGTAAAACTCCATGATATTTTGGGGGATGAGAGGTTTGGTTTTATTTTTTCTCATCTACATCCCTATGTCTTGAAAATTCTTAGAAGACAGTAGATACTCAATAAATAATTTCTGAATTAATAGGTGATAAATACTCATGAAAGCTTTTCTCTATCTTTCCAAAGTCTTAATGCCTGCTCTATTTGTTTTAAATTCTATTGCTTCAATAAGATACTTTAAGAACTATTCTTTCATAATTCTGATCTGAAGAACTTACAAGGTGCTAAATTAGAAGATGTATTGCAAAGGCTTTATTTCAATTTGGCCAAGCTTTTTAATAAAAGTTTGACTTGCTTAAAAGAAATATTTATCTGGGATTCGAGTTCACTCCTTAGACTAGGTCAACACTTTGAGAGGGGGTTGTTTTTGCAAAATAAAAATTAAAGATTAAGTGTTTCTCATGACAAATTTTGAATTTTATTTCCATGCCCTGATTCCCAATGACTTGACACTATAATTGAGATATTATACAGATTTTCTCAATAACTTCAGAGTGCATTTATATGTGATCAAAAGACCTTTCTGATTTCAAGATACCTTTAATAACCTTTACTAATTATTAACCAAAACTAAAGGCAGATTTTGCAAATATAAACTTGTCATTTCAGCATGACTGTTATCTTTTTGATGGAAAAGATGAAGTTCAGCGAAGAACAAATCTACAACTTGGCCAGAAGACTGTAGACTTTGCCTTCAAAGAGGTGTAACACATACGTAAATAATCCCATCAGACCCCATCCACAGCCTCCCTGCTCTTGCAATTTAATTAAGCACAGTGAGAGGGTTTGAGAGTATCCTCACGAAAAGACAATTTTGGTAGCATTTGGGAAAAAAGCAAGAGTTAATTTTTATCTGAAAGACTAGTTTCCTTTGTAAGTCTTCAAAATGTTTTGCCTTTTGCAAAGTACAGACACTGAAGCTGGCATGTTAACTTACTAAGTTAGCAGATTCCCCCTAAAATGCAATGCCCTAAAGCTGGACAGAGGGTAGAAATAGCAAACAGAGAGCATTAACTATATGCTTCTTCAAACAATCAGTGAATGCAAACTGAATTGCCCTGAGTCAGCAGCAGGCAAGAACCATCAGAAAGGTGAAGGCAAGAATATCCATGTTTATATAAAGAGGATGACATTGTTCTGTCCCTAAAAACAGCTAACTCTTGATAATCTCATTTTTTCCTTTGATGTTCTAAATTATAATGAAAATATACTTCCTTTTTTTTTTGAAACAGAGTCTCACTCTGTTGCCCAGGCTGCAGTGCAATGGCATGATCTCAGCTTACTGCAACCTTCACCTCCCAGGTTCAAGCAATTCTCATGCTTCAGCTTCCCAAGTAGCTGGGATTACAGGCATGCACCACCACTCCTGGCTAATTTTTGCATTTTTAATAGAGACAGGGTTTCACCATGTTGGGCAGGCTGGTCTCGAACTCCTGACCTCAGGTGATCTGCCTTCCTTGGCCTCCCAAAGTGCTGGGATTACAGGCCAGAGCCACTGCACCTGGCCAAAATATCACTTTCTAAATGATGCTTATCTATTAGCTTGGGGACATTTATTTAATTCTACTACTTCAGTAGTAGAATACCCATTGCTATTACTAATAGTAGTACTATTAGTATTACTATAGTATTACTATTATTACGATTAGTATTGCTAATCATAATATATATAGTATTAGCATACTATATGCACTACTATAGTAATACTATACTAGTATACTAATAGTAGTATTATAAATACTATTAATATTACTATTGCTACTATCATAGTATTATTATAATTACTAGTAATAATTACTATTACTATTATTATGATTAGTATTACTATAATCATAATAGTAGTAATAGTAATAATTACCAGTAATTATAACAATATATTACTATTGCTACTACTATTACTATATTGGTATTACTACTATTAGTAATACTAGCACTGTCATTATTAATAGTGCTACAATTAGTAATACTAGTGTTATTAGTAATATTGGTACTAATATTGGTGCTATTAGTAATAGTAGTACTATTAATACTAATATTAGTAGGTAGTCCTAATAATATTGTTATTGTTACTAATAGTATATCTTATTACTATTCTGTTATTCAAGTAATAGTAATTTTAGTAATAGAATACCTCTACTTTAGTAATAGAATACCTATTACTATATTGTTATCATTACTACTATTAGTGATACTAGCACTGTCATTACTACTAGTGCTGCAATTAGTAATACTAGTGTTAGTAATATTGGTACTAATATTAGTGCTATCAGTAATAGTAGTACTATTAATACTAATATTAGTAGGTAGTCTTAGTAATATTGCTATTGTTAGTAATATTCTATTACTATTCTGTTATTCAAGTAATAGTAATTTTAGTAATAGAATACCTTAAAGCTGCATTTTTCAGAAACGATCACTTCAGCTTCACTTTTTTCTTTCACCCAAATTTTCACCCAGTTTCTTATATTATTAATGGTGTCTTCATTCTGAGTCTTTAAAGGACAATGTGAAGCAGTACAGGAATTCTCAACGCATATGACAGAAAATTTTCAAAAGTACCTATATTCAAATACATTCTAGTTGCATTTGATTCAGATCATTGTAAAACATATTCCTCTGTCCTGGTTGGCAGAGCACATTAAGCAGGGTGAAAACCCAGCAAAGAACCTTCCCTGAGCCACTAATAACTAGAACCCAGTGTGGCAGCCTTCACCTCTGTGTATGTGGGAACTTCCAGGGCCTCACACTCCTACAGCCTAGAACCTTCAAAATGGACATTATCTTGTTCTGGGAACTTGTGGATGTGAGCAACCATCATATTTGGAATGTGATTCAAATCATGTTCCCAAAATAGAAAATGTAGACAATGAAATGCTGAAATTATACATTTATATCTGTACACACAAACGTGAACATATGTAAACTTTCATCATTTTTTAAAATTTACAAAAGTTTTCATGTACTCTACTGAACATGTCTGTGGTATGTGATCTGGGTGTTAGCAAACCCTTCCCACGTCAAGTCAAAAGCATCCATTGTTCTTGTTTTGTTAAAATTAATGTCACATTTTTATTACATAGAGTACTTTGCATGATGACTTCTGTGTATGTGATACTGGCATATTTTGCTCTAAAAATTTATCTTTGGAGAATAAGTAGATAACTATCTTAGCTGACACACAGACTAAAACTCAATCTCTGAGAATTCTGATTTCTTATCTTAGTGGTTAGAATGAGCGACAGTGTCCTCTTCTCACGTCTGTAAGGAACATTCTTCATATTCTTTTAATAGATGTGAGCTGATCTGTTTTTGAGTATTTGGTGACATCCTGAGATAAGTGGATTCAGAATTACTAATCTGCATTATAATTGGAGAATGGGTATTGTTCATTTTTTTTTGTTTCTAAATTTCAACCAATATTGTGCATTTTTAAAAGTTTTTTTTTAAGAGCACATTTACACAGCCTTGTTTGTATGTAACTCTTAGTTGCTCTAACTTTAATGACGCATTTACAGAGAATATTTCCTAAAGATGTCCTTCATGAAAAGGAGAAGTTTGGACTTGACAACAGTAATTTACTTAATTTATCTTAAATTTGGTTTCAGTGAGCAACCCTAATTAACCTGATTTTTTGCTGATAATCACTCTCAATGGAATCAAATCACAAATCCGGGGATGGATTGAGCGGCACTCAGAAGGAAGCAGCCCTCCGCGCACTGGTCCAGCGCACAGGATATAGCTTGGTCCAGGTAGGAACTTGTGAAATCTGCTGAGACTCACCACTGAATTTGCACAGTGGTGGGAATATTGGAGGTCCTAAGATGCAAAATGGGAATGGTCAGTTACATAGCTCTTTAGAGAAATGTCCCTTTCTAAAAGAGAAGGAAATTGCAACATTTCTGTTTTGTAGATGACACTGAATGTAACCTTCTTTCTACTCTAGGTTATCAATTCAACCTTAACTTGTCACAGAATCAGTGTCCACAGTTATAGAGACTATCCCAAAAAGGCAGCTAGAATTTGCCACCCAAGGCTATGAAGTAGAACCACATTGGTGTTTCAGGAATCAGCAGAAAATAAACTACAGCAGGAACCAGGCTTAGTTTCCAGAGAGATCACTGCACACCTAAGACTTCTAGATGTGGGATCCAAGGAATGAACTTTTTGTGTCTAGCTGCTGCAGTTTGTTCTCTCAGAACACTTGCTCATCCAGTCTAGGATATGTAATACTAACTTGTCTCCATGCTTAGCATTTTGTAAAAGGAAAAAAGAAAACACCACAATCTTAAAACTGTCTATTTATAGACACTGCCTTTTAGAAATTATCTGTATATTATTATTATCTTTATGATATCTTCTTTTAGAGAACTTATGCTGCATTTAAAAAAATGTAGTGTTAGATACATATATTATCTTATTTAAAGAAAAAAATGTTGCTGTTTTTACAGTAGGACAAAGTATTTTAATTTCTCAGCTATTTTCTTTCACTCACATACTTTCCCAACTTAACCAAATCTTGAATTCAAACTACTATGAATTCAAATGTCATGTGTGATTAGCAATAAAATATGCAAGAGTGTCCTTCCATTAGATGCTCCTTTGTCAGTTGCAAAATATACATTTATTTTTTAATTAATTTTATAAATCATGGCATGCTTTGTTAGACATAGTAATAGTTATTTTCTTCATCCTAATGAAGAGCGTTAGTCTTTTTTAAGATTTCAAAAAGTTTCTATTATTTCATAGTTGACTTTTTGAAGTTTCACTTAAGTCCATGGAGATACTGACATATTAGTTTTTTTAATACTTAAAATTCAAATTATTTTAGACTCATTAAACTTTTGAAAAGAGGGTTTTCTTTCTTTTTGCAATCAACACTTCCATAGATGTTATACAATCAAGAATGTTTTTGAATCTTTTTAAAATTTTGAACTTCTTGATATTAGAAACATTTGTGCAAAGACAGTAGAAATAGAAAGCATTTCAACCCTTTCAAACAGCAATCTGTTAATATTTATATATGAGTGTTCCTTTTCTGGAACTGTATTTCTAATGACCCATAATATAAGATAGAAATATGTATAAATCTGTCAAGGGTGACATTAGCTGTAATGCATATCACAAACTTAAATGTATAAATACAAGAAAATTATTAAGTAAATTATGAATGTATAATTATTATACCCAACAAGCAGAATTTATGAAAAATAATCCTAAAACAATATAAATTATCAATTACATTTCATTCAATTCTGGATACTGGTTCTTCCTTTTCCCCCCACATGAAATTCAGGTAAAGTCTCATAACTTTTCTGGTAACGTTCAGGTAATAAAAATCCTTCATTTAAAAAAATTGATATTTTTTTCATATTGATGTTATTCCAAACTAGATTGTTTGGAATAATAGTAAAGACATAAAATCATTCAAAGTTGCAGTTATTTCCCTTTCTCAAGTATGTCAGGGTGGAGGATAATTTCTTTTCTGTTTTTCTGCACTATGTTTTCCTCTTTCAACACCAGTTTGGTAACTACAATTTCTGACTCCTGATTGAAGCAGAAGGGAGAAATAAAAGCAAAGAAAATGGTAAAGGAAAGTTTTTACTGAGCTACCTTCATTGGGCTCTCAGGCCTGACAGGTATCGAAGCTTGTGAGATTCTTTTTACGATCTTCAGACACCCAGCCTCCTGCTGGGTTCTCTTTGATATTTGAAGCAGCCCTCATGGAGAGGATGGAAGATAATCATTAATTTCTACACGTGGCCAAACTCTGATCCCCGGAAACACACATTCCCTGACCCAACAAAATCTGGAAATTGAGGTGACACAAAGCAACCACTTCTCCTTGCCAACAACAAAGCTGCAGGCCAACCCATTGTTCACAGTGAGAGATTTCAGGAGTGAGTTAGATCCACCAGCTTAGTGTGTTCCCCAAACACAAAGGCAGGGAATACACATCAAGCTGTCTAAGTGGTTTCTCCTGCTTTAGGCAAAATGACAGGCGCCTCCCAATTCCTCCCACTTAGGGGGAACTAAGAGTCACAACACAACAGCAGTCATCTCCAAATATCTTTGTGCAAATTCCAAAAACTTCTCTCAAACTCTCCAATCTCTTTTCTAAGCTTAGGGTGTTGGGTGACAGTTAACAATGGAAAAATAGTTTCCTGCTACCTTCTCATCCTGCTTGGTGCTCTAGTCACTTGGTTTCATACCTAAATCAGAGGCTAGAGTTAATGATAATTTATTACATATTTCAAAACAGCTAGAAGAGAAGATTTGAAATGTTCCCAACACAAATAAATGTTTGAGGTGAGGGATATCCTAATTACCCTGATTTGATCATTACATATTGTACGCGTGTATTAAAATATCATACATGGACTCCTTAAATGTGTACAATTATTATGCACCAATTTTAAAAGTCCAATTCCGTCTTAAAATCCTGTCACAGATGAAATAGTATTCAGTAACTAACAGTAATCATATAAAAAAATCTGAAGGACAATTGTAACACATTATTGTTAAAGCTATGAAGAAACCTTTCAAATAATTTTTTTGAAAAGAGACCCAAATAACAATGGAGATAATCTTACTCCATTTAAAAATTTTGCTCCATTGTAAGGTCAAATGTTATGATTTAAGGACATTTATCTGATAGAGAAAATAATGATATGTATAATTGAAAATGTTAACATATAAAATACTCCTAAAATATATGGCCAATCTTTATTTTACTTTGATCTTATCTATTAAATGATATTCAGAAAATGCTTATAATAAGGACCTAGACCACAAGTTAATTGTAATAATAATAATAACAAAAAATATTCTATCTGCTTTGTGTATATTAACTCATCTAGTCCTTACTATACACTGTGTGATAGCTACTATGTTTATCCCCAATTTCCTGATGAAGAAAACAAGGCACAGACAGTTTAGATAACTTGTGAGATTAAGATTCTGTTGTTATTGGCCAAAATTTTTGGTTAGACTCAGAAAACTGAGAGTTGTTATAATGTGACTTTTAAGATTGCAATTTTAGAGATCAGCATCCTAGAGCATGTGACAAACATTTTTTTGGAACCTAAACTTTGTAACATGATTCACTTTAAGTAATATTGACTAGCAGCGTGACTGTTGAATCAGAAGTGCTTCAATAATGTAGAAGCTTAATGTTCCAAAAGCTAGTTATCTATACCTAAGGCCTCTAATCAAAATGTAAATACCTATATAACTCAATCATTTTGAATGAATTAAAGAATCCCTCCTGATTTTGGCTACAGAGTGTGGAAAATTATCCAAGACTTTAAATCAGAAGGCCTGTAATCTAATCTAGTCCCTATGACATATGAGTTGTATGATCTTTAAAAAGTCCCTTAACATCTCCAGGCCATAATCTCCTGGAAGATCAGGTACGCAATACCCAACTATTTGTCCATGATTTTTGTGATTCTAGTATCTTCTGAATCTAGTCACTGGTTAGCACACTGGACTATTTGGTCGAAAGGGTAGCCTAAATATGTAGAAACACAACTTCAAACTCTTTGTAACTTAGGGAAAATCCTTTAGTCTTACTAATACTTCAGCCTTCCTACTCTGGATTATACAAAAGATCAATATGATTATCCAAAAAGAAAGAAAGAAAGGCAACATTAAGAACATCAAGTTTACTTTTTAAAAAAGTTTTTGTACAAAAATTAAGATAAAGAAACATCCTAATACAATCCAAGCAGCATACCCATAAAATGATAGTTTAGAATTTTATAGATTAGGGTTTGAAGGATTTACTTTTGCTGTATCTTTGCAGTCTCTGATATTGAATGTTGAATATTTACAGAACAAGAATTCAAAAAACAGAGGGTGATGAATTTGTGCTCTCTTATCACTAGCAGGACAAATACAGCTATCAAAAATAGAATTTTGTGAGTTACTTAATAACGTGACCCAGGCTTTTATGTAGCAACTGATGCAATAATGCCTGCTTCTAAGGGTTTGGAAATATGCTTTGTGATCTTTTTAAAATAATCAAACATCTTTGGATATTGATGACTGAAGTTTTTATCAAAGTACTGTAGAGAAAAAAGAGATATAATGTAGTACCCCACATATAGTATGTATTTAATACATACTCTTGTTGAAAATTGTATAATATTACTAAGTTAAACTTTAAGCTTCATAATTGTATTATGCCTTATAAAAATATTTTGTAAGGAAGTGTGCTGCAGTATTAACATGTGAACAGTCTTTGTCTCTGTGTAATGGAATTATGTGTGGGGATTCTTTTCTCTACTTTTTTATTCTTAACTGTACTTCCTGATTTCGAAAGCTAGCATATACTTCTTTGATAGCTAAAGACAAAAAAAATTACATTATGATGAGTCTTTCCTCAAGAATGCATTAATGATGTGGGTCATAAACTATGATATGTGATGCTCCTCTCACCTGAAATTTTCTCCTTAGAACTAGAAAAATATATTCTCATATGTGAGCATATTCAGAAAAATATACACTTCCACCCAACGTGGTGTCTGTTGACATCAAGTTTAATTCTATTGCAACTAAACCTAAATATATATTTAATAAAAATCACCCTCAGGTAGTCTTAATTTTTTAAAAATAGACTCATTATATCTAATATATATAAAATTTAAAATGTGGTGTGTATTAGCTTTGTTTATCTAGTTATCCTATTGGTAGTCTGTTTTCTAAAAATCATTACAGCACAATCAATTTTTCTGAGGTGTGATAGTCCCCTTGCTTTCGTAAACCAATGATCATCCTAAATAAACATCAATATTTTTTGTTTTGTTTTGTTTTGTTCTTCTGTTTTGCTTCCTTAGTCCCTATTATTGAGAAAAATGTATTAGTGCTGGGTCTCGGGATTATAGAGTATAAAAATGCAGTGCCTGACCTAAAGTTCATATAAAGTGGGTGAAATGAAAAAGAATGTATCTAAAATTTACAACAACATAAGGCAGCCTCAAATGAGCAATACAGCTGTGGGTACCAAAAAGATCAGCATTTTCTATATAGAGCCTTAAAATTGACAATGCTCTTTGACCTGAGGAATGAGGACAAATATTTAGACATAATGATGTTATTATAGTGAAATGTATAATTTTTTAGAAATTTAAACTTAAACATATCCTAAATATCCAATGTAATATTAATGGTCAGGCAAATTATGATCATTCTTATATTTTCAAATTATACAGTAATATAAAATTATGATTTCAAAGAATTTTCAAAGACATGGAGAAGTATTCAATTTTAACATTTAGTTAAAAATCTGAAGGCTACATATAAATTTGTGAAGAATATTTTAAAAAATTATTCACATACAGTAAAGAATATTGTAAAATAACAAAGTATAATCTCTAAGTTTTTCTTGCCTGATGCTCTTCTTCATTTTCTAAATTTTCTATAATAAATGCAGATCGTTTTTATCACAAGGAAAAAATCTCATAAGGTAGAAAAGATTTCTAAGGGTCAGTCAGGAGTTAAAAAAAAGAAAAGAAAAAAATCATGGAAAAAAACTTTATTATTAAATTTGGGTGATAGGTCCCTAGGTTCACTAGACTATTCTTTCTAATTCTACATATACATGAAATTTGTTTAATATTGATATAGTCCAATCCTTTTGTTCTGCAGTTAGAAAATAAGCCCCAGAATTACACAATTATTAATCAGGGGTCAACAAACTATGCCCCATGAACCAAATGTGGCTACAGCTTGTTTATGTAGTAATTGCAAGATATGATTTTTTTTTTACATTTTAAGCATTTTTTTTAAAAAAAAGCCTAAAATATCAACTATTTGGCCTTTTACAAAAAAAAAAAAAAATTGCTGACTCCAACTCGATTCCTTAGCCTACTGCTCTATATTAGAAGCGAATCTAGTTTTTAAAGAAAATTCTTTAATTTAGTATTTAATCTCCCTTAAAAGAAGTAGGTGCATCCCTTCTTGTGCTGCCCATTCACACCACCTCAAGCACTGGGCCCTCACTCGTTCATGTATTAATTCATTTCTTGATTCCACCACAAAGAGAGACATGTTTCTACCTTTATGAAGATTAGTCTCATAGAAAAGATAGAAAATTAACAGATAAAGAAACAAGCAAAGTAATTACAGATCATGGTAAGTGTCAAGAATGTGATAAACCAGGCTGTGTAAAAGTCAAAGCCAGGTGACCTTCTTTAGGAAAAATTACATTGAAGCTAAGACTTACCAGATGAGAGCAAACAAACTCTGCAAGGAGCCAAGTATCCCTGGGAGATGGAGCACACAGGCAGTACTCCTTAAACAAAATATTTATACAGTGCAGAACACTTTTGGGTAGTGAAGACATTAATGTGTCTTACTTTCAAAGATCTAGTGAGATTACAGCAGATAAGTCGGTGGATTTCATCTTTCCCTTCCTCTGTTAATCAGCCATGAACCTGGTGTCCTGGGAACAATCTCCTCAAACTAGGAACAAAATACAGTATTCAATTCCCACCCCTCACACTTTCCTTTATATGCATTCTCTCTTGTATGGAATTTCAATGAAATCACATGTTTTGATTCTAATTTGTTCAGTTCTTCAGCAAATACAAGCCATCAGGTACAAAGAATGGAGCTAGATCAAGTCTAATTAGAATACCGTTCCTCTTCTAAGAGTGCCCCAAATTAAGCTAACTCTCCATCTTTCCGGTTTGAGATAATGTACTTAGGTAATTTTAATTGAATGTTCCTCAAATGGCATTTTTTCCTATAAATAATACAATAAAAATAACCTGAGGGTCTCAGGTTTACTAATTGGCTTCATCTAGACTGGCTCCGAGAGGAGCAGATGGAAAAACACTGTGGCATTGACATTCTTTTTCAACCACTGCACAAAAAATCCTAGGGACAGAAATAGGAATTTGACTTCATGGCAAAATATAGCTCCTGGGTCCTACTTTTTCCTCTATTGCCTGTTTTCACCACCTGCTCACATCCCTGCTATCCAAGGACTTAGGTCATTCACCAAGTGCACGGATACCAATTCTTTAAATAGGTAGCAATAAGCATTAGAACAGGATGGGACCAGTAGATTATCACAGGCTCATGCTTCCCTAAGCTTATCACCCCAGCCACCCACAGGCCAACTTTATTTTAAAGCTCAGAAGCAGTCTTACTTCTACTAGCCAGAGATGCCATAGCGTGGTGTGAAAGACTCCAAATGAAGGAGCAGTTCTGTGAATCCCTTTGTGGAGGGGGTGTGTGCCCAACATTTGTGGGAACTTCATTATCCCAAGGAACACAGATATGTTCCAGAAGCTATTATTTCCAAATAGCAATGAATTTCTCCTCGAATAGCCTCATAGGGTGTTGACTATATATGAAGTGTTTGATATAAGATTCAAAATCTTCATAAACGACACAAGGTAGTGCTTTCCCTTAAGCTAGAAGCACAGACTTTTTCTATTTTATCAGCTTAAAAATTGGTGTGACCTCATGACCCAAATATGCAGAAGCATGAGCAGGTCTTGTGGACTTTGGACTGCGCACGCTGACAAATTCACACTTTTTCTTAAAGTGCTATTCATTTGTGAGTACTGATTGGCAACTAAAATTAAGTGACTCTTCATCTTCAGAACCTGAAAGCTTAGCATTATGAGATGCAAAAGACAGCTTTCAAACAAGCTAGGCAAAGAAGAAATTATTGAGATCACAGTTCCTTGCAATCATGAATTTGTATAGGATTTCAGCAGCTGTGATCCTTTGTAACATTGTTAAAGAAGTGCTGAGCAGGGAACCAAGATGATGTTAAATGGCACATTGTCCACATCATTAAATAACATCCAATCCCATATAGAGAGAATTATTCCACTTTCAGTTCTCTCTCAGGCTTCCAGGTGAGGAAAGTTAGTTGTTGGAGGTATGATTTAAACACCTCTTCAGGCCCTGCTAACCTTTTTAAGTCCCGAGAGCAGAACTAGAGTGCAGAGCTTTTAGTAGACAGTGTCTATGTAGAAGTTGACCATGATTTCCCTTGTTTGCAATTGTTTTTATAATCACCGACCATTTATGGGAAATGATACTGATATTCCACTTATAAGAACAATATATTTTCTTTTTGATATAAGCTTATTTAAGTAACAAAGTGAATCAATGCATAAAGTCATTAGGTAATTAACAGAATAGATGTCAATTGGACATGGAATTGAAGATACACTGATTTTTAAAATTACAATATCCTCTTAAGGCTCCAATTGACTAACTCACAAAACATCCTATGAACATTTTCCTCCATTAAACATGATATCAAAGTCAGCCTTCCTTTTACAAGCACCCTCACACCCCTACAGGACTACTGCAATCACCTAGTCAACCCTCCTACTCCTTCATAGATGAAATAATTAAAGTCAGAATAGATTTAGTGCCTTGCCAAGTCCCTCAGCTTGTCAGAAATTAAAATTCACAAGAGTGTTGTAAGGAGAAGAATGATTATACAAAATTCCTTACATGCCTCAAACCCGGTGCATTGGATGGGATTATGTTTGGCATATGTTGAACTAGGAAAAGATAGAAGAGCAATTACCCAAACCAAATGTTCTTTATTATGTCTTTATCTGCACATGGGAAGTTTTGCATAACTTAATCAGATCTAGCGGCCATAATAATAGTTAATTCAAAAAGGCAAATTGTAAGTAAACAAAAAAGTTAGATGGGCCTATTGAATAAATTACACATTCTTTAAGGATAAAAGCTCCAAACGGATTAAGGAATGACTAAAGCTGTCACCTAATTACTTCTTGAAAGGAATTTAGAGGTTCCTATAGATGGAAGCAGTGTGTCTGGGCACATGCCCAGAGCCAGAAGCGAGCATGAGCACAGCAATTCCTGGCCTCAAAAAAGGAAATAATGCTTTGCAGTCCATCATTTTGCAAACTTTGCTGGAAAAGGTAAGCAGAGGGTCTTAGAAGTGAGTTGGCATTTTACTCGTTCTCTTTTACAGAAACACACACACACACACAAATGCTTTTTGTTTTCTAATTTTGAAAAACACTCGAATAAGTTTTCTGTTTTGTAATTTTGAAAAACACTGACAAAATGTTTTCTGTTTTCTAATTTTGTCTATTTTCAAATTCAATATTCTTATGAATGACCAAAATCTTACATTATAAAAAGCTTTGCAAAACACATCATTTAAAAAAGCCTATTTGCTTTTGAATGCTTCAAACGTTGATACTGAATAATCCTTAAACATAAAGGGAAATTATTAAAAGATATTATTAAATGCATCAACTTGAAAACATAAATTACTTCTGCTTCCATAAGATAGTTAACAACTTCAAGTGAAATTGGGATTAATTTCCTTGGAAATAGACTTTCAATGGTCAATCTTCCAAAGTGAAACAGGAAGGTGACTCATAATTTACTCATAGTTGTTTCCTTAGAAGAACCATATCATACATTTTTTAAAGATAAAATGTCAGGGCTTTGTAAAAAGTGAAACCAATAAATGAAAGTCAAGAGCCAAGAGCCATTTGCATCTTTCTTCATGATTTTTGCCATAGATACATGCCACCAATATTATTTATTTAGAATTCATTAAATCTCCTGGCTAACACAGTGAAACTCCGTCTCTACTAAAAAGTACAAAAAATTAGCCAGGCATGGTTGCAGGCGCCTGTAGTCTCAGCTACTGGGGAGGCAGAGGCAGGAGAATAGCGTGAAGCCAGGAGGCGGAGCTTGCAGTGAGCTGAGATTGCGCCACTGCACTCCAGCCTGGGCGACAGAGCGAGACTCCGTCTCAAAAAAAAAAAAAAAAAAAAAAAAAGAATTCATTAAATCAACTCACTATTTTTAGTCGTTTATGTTAAAAGCAAACTTTTTCTCACATATGTAAGAAACCCACAGGTTTTGTGTGCTAATTATACTTTTTCTAATGTACATTAAAATAAATGCATAATTATTAAAATAAGAAATACTGACCTATAAACCATCTAATATCATCCTCACATATTTTGAGAAACACTAGGCTATATGATGATAAAGCTAAATTAATATTTGATAATGTTCATATCGTAGCTTTTCCTGTCTTTGTTTCTAATCTACATTTCCACAAAATTTCAACAACTCATTTAGTCTTTATACACAATTTTTATTATTCTTCCTACTTTAGGAACATTATATCTGGCATTCAAGTTGCATACATCTTGTAAAAATTGTAGAAAAATAGCCAATAGAAATAATGCCAACTTCTACAGTATATTAAGCCAAATAAATTCTGCTTTCTAAATTCCAGTCTAAAAACAGATTTTACCAACATGAAGTCACTGATTTTAACAAGATGTGAAGGTGAACAAACTATACAAAATAGATAATTATTTTATATACAATTTAGAAATGAATATTCCCTGCAGCACTGTGTGTTGTTCTCAGGCAACAAAAACTTTAGAAGAGACCAAAGGTAAAATCACATTGAAGAGGATCCTGTTGGTACCTTTTATGGCCCCATAGACTTTCCTTAAACTATCTATCACATAATGAAGGATCTAGTATATAGGTGGAATACAATAGAAATAATGTCTAATAAATACTTTTATTCAATTTCACAAATCAACAACTAGGAAAATACAGTATAGACTCATGAAACACAAGTGACACAGTCAAGAGTGATGTCCTCCATGCCTTGTTGTCAACTTTAAGAACCATGCACAGGAGTCTGATCACAGAACCACTGTTCTGGGTATGGTCCTGGTGACTGGCAAGCTGGTAAAATCTTGAAATGCTACTAAGCAAGGGTAGATTTGGCTAGGACCCAAGGGAACAGGAGCAGGAATAAATACTAACCTGGTCAATTGGAAAATGTACAGGAAAACATCTGAAACAAGTTTAGTTATGAAAAATACACAGTTTCTTCCCTCTTAGAGAGAGGGGAGAAAAAGAAACAAAGAATCAAAGAGAACCACAAAGACGATTACAAACTTGAAATATGAACTTTCCAAAGAGCCATTAAAGAAACTGAAATTACTACTCAGGAAAAAACAGGCTGAATGAGGGTTCATTAATTAATGTCCTTCCGGTTATGAATGGGCTCATTTATGGGAAACAATAACCATCTGGTGTCCATGATTGGTGAAGTTGAGCAGGAAAATAAATGTAACACACAACATGAGGATTTATGAGGCTGATAAGCCTGAGAAGAATAATCATCACAATTTTTGAGTACTATATATGCCATAAAGTTCACCAAATTGAGAATGATAGGACCTTTATTCTAGTCTTTTCTACAATAAATTAAACCAGTGTGATATTAGACAAGTTATGTATCTCTGGACTTAGTTTCCTCATCTATAAAGTTAGTATATTGTGTTAATGTAAAAATGAAGGAAAGATAATGGAACTACAAGCGTCTTCATATTTTTTCTCTGCTGTTTACTGCTTGTATGAATTTGGACATATTTTATGCCTTGGATTCCTTGCCTATAAAATGGAAGTAATAGTAGTAGCATCCTCATAGATTTGTTGAGAAGATTAAATAAATGTAAAGCACTCAGAAAAATACCTAATTCAATTGGAGATAGTTGTTGTTTTTTGCTGTCATTACTGTCATGTGCAAGTAACAGAAGCTAACTCTGACTGGCTAAGTATAAAAGAGTTTATTAAAAGGGTACTGGTTCACAGAAACTTTAGATGTGGAGAATCCAATTCAAGGGTAAGCTTTTAAGAACAAAACCCAAAACCACATCACATAATTGTCATGATAAGGAAATGTTATCTGCCATCACAGAATGCTCAACATTAAAGTTTGCACCATTTGTGGCTTTTGCATCAGAACTCAATTTTAGTAAGGGAAACCATGATTGTCCATGGTTTAGTAAAGGAAACCATGATTTTCCAATAACCATGATGGCCCCAGCTGCAAGGAAGGCTAGAAAAATCAAGTATCTGTCATTTTTAAGTTCTATAGGAGAAGGCAATTTTTGCCCAGATTCCCCAGGTATATAACAAGTTCAAACGCTCAGTGGCCAAAATTAACTCAGTTCATTCAATCTTCATGCTAAGACTTACTGCTTAGAATGATTTATTGAGGAAGGTTTTGTGGCTTTTATCCAAGGTCAAGAAGATGGTAGACAAAATCTCTTGAAGACTCAATGGCTTCATCATGAAGGACTTGAAATATCTGTGATAGGAGGAAATTTCCAAGTACTCTTGACATATAAACTGAGTAACTGGGTAGGCTCAGCATCCAATATGTAAATTAAAGCCACTGGATTTATAGTTAGAATTGTGTCCTCAATTGTTAATTTACATAGGTGAAGACTTTCCACCTATTTGTATATGACTCTAGAGAGACAACGGTTTGTAAGTCTTTGGAAAAATAAAAGTTTCCAGAGTTTAATAAACATTCTCTCATGAAAAACAAAAATCTATATTCTTTTAGTCTGAACTATTAATACATTTGTGCTGCTGGGGAGAATGCTTCCCTTGAGGAAGACATCAGCTAGGAGAGAAAAGAGCAGTTATAACTGGGCTTTATCTATTTTAAACTCCTCAACTATGAAAATAGTACCTGACATATTAGCAACCCAGAGCCCAACTGTCCTTTCTGAGTAATGGACAGCTATTCTAACCCCATGACTAATGCCCATTGCCTGTCTTAAATTGATCTGAACTTCCATTACTGGTACATTCCAAGACCAGCGGGTGGCTCACAGAGCAAATCTCCCCTACTGAGTGAACTACAGGGCATCCCTGAACTGGCCAGACTCTTTACAGTCTCAAAAAATATTCTTTGGATTTTTTTTCAAGTGTTTATAAAAAACAAAGAAAGACAATTAATATGCTTTCTTGCCCAGTTATTTCAGATTGTAAGCAGGTAAATCTTCCTATATGCATCATATGCATAAATAGTTGGATGGCATTTTTAGCAATTATAGCAATCAAGAAAGTTGAAGATATATTTAAACAGGTCAATCTGCTGGTTGCCTATTTATTTTCAAACTATCAAAGCTATTCAAAGCAGAATTTCTGGAATTACCATTTTACTATTATGAGATTAAAGTTTGGTTTCCTCAACTTGAAGGGTAAAAATACCACCCAATGTATAGTAAACTTATAATCTGTTGAATGTTACAGACATCAAAGATACATAAAAATGGGCTCAGAAGCATCATTATCACCGAAATGGAAAGAGTTTGCCCAGGGAGAAGGATGGTAATTTGGCAATTCAGGTTGAGTATCTTTTATCCAAAATGCTTAGGACCAGAAGTATTTTGGATTTCAGACGTTTTTAATTTTAGAATTTTTGCATATACATTATAAAGATATCTTGGAGTTGGGACCCAAAGTATAAACACAGAATACACTTATAATTCATATATACCTTATACACATAGCTTGAAGGTAATTTTATACAATGCTTTTAACGATTTCGTATACCCATCACATGAGGTCAGGTGTGGAATTTTCTACTTGTGGCATCATGTTGGCACTGAAAAGTTTTGAATTTTGGATTTTGGGGTTAGAAATATGAGATATGTTCTTCCAAATATTTTATGTAATAAAATGATCGGAAATTGAAAGGATTTTAAATTGCAGTAGAGAATTTGCTATTTAATGGCATGATACATTTTTTCATAAATAAGGAGTTTTTTTTTTTTTTTTGAGACAGAGTCTTGCTCTATCACCCAGGTGGGAGTGCAGTGACAACATCTCAGTTCACTGCAACCTCTACTTCCTGGGTTCAAGTGATTCTCATGCCTCAGACTCCCAAGTAGCTGGAATTACAGGCATGTGCCACCATGTCCAGCTAATTTTTGTATTTTTAGTAGAGATGGGGTTTCACCATGTTGGCCAGGCTGGTCTCGAACTCCTAGACTCAAGCCATCCACCCACCTCAGCCTCCCAAAGTGCTGGGATTACAGGCATAAGCCACCATGCCAGACCAATAAGGAATATTTTAATGTATGTATCTGTTATAAGTGGCTTCCACGTATCAAAGGAGCAAAATGCAAAAATTAAGCTGATGAACTTTGATGCCTGACTGCCTGGGTTCAAATTCTGGCTTCTCCACTTCCCAACCATGTGACCTTGGCAAATTAATTTATCTGGGCTTTGATACCTTATGTAAATGGGATAATAACTGTCCTTAACCCATGACATTAAGTAATGACAGAGCAGTATCTGACATATAGTAAATGCTATATAGGTATTTGTTTGAAAAGAAGTAAATAAATAAAACTCATTAATGTCTCTGAAAATGTCAATTGCACATTTTTAAGGTAATTCTTGGTTGAGATATAAACCACTAAATTACCAAGGTTTTGGGGTTTTTTTCTATAAGCATAAGTATTTCAATTTCTCAGATTTCTCAGTGATATCAAAGTTTTACTAATGGACAAGAATATTAGGGTAAGAAAAAAGTACAGGAACTCTCTAGGCAAAAATTTAAATATTCAATTAGATTTTAAAAATACTCAGTTGTTTGAAACAAAAAAAGTAATCCAGGCAAAGTAGAAGACTCATATGATATCTTTTTAAGTTATTATTTTTAAAAAACGTGGTATGAATTATTAGAAATAATGTGTGATCATGACCCACAGACACCACAGATATGAATTAAATACTGTGATCCAAAGAGCCTTTGTGCTAACACTTACAAAATATAATTGAGAAAGACTCAAGTTGGTGTATATGAAGATTTAACAGGGACACTACAAGCTGCTTTACTTCAATTTTAAACAACAGTCATACAAAGCAGTGTATTTAAACAACTAACATATGTCTTTTAAAAATATACATAGAAAAATATTTGAAAAGGCCTATGAAATTTTTGACAGTAACTACTTCTAAGGATGGTACAGTGATACATTGGAGAATTTTTCTTTTTACTTTACATGTCACTGTGTTTTTTCCACAACTTGTATCATTTTATAGCATGAAACTTCTTAAAATATTAGTTGTAGAAGTTAGTAGTGAACTCTTGGGCTCAAGGGATCCTTCTGCCTCAGTCAGAGTAAGTTCTATTGTTCTATAGCACTGCAGGATGACTACGTTTAACAATAATATATTATTAATATGTAGTTGTAAATAGCTAGAAGAAGGCTATTCCTTGTGTTCCCAACACAAAGAAATGATAAATGTTTGAGATGATGGATATACTAATTACCCTGATCTATTTACTCTTTAATGTGGTAAGAAGATAGATCTCTTAAGTGTTCTTACTCAATGAAATTAAAAAAGAAAAAAAAAATATTTGCCTAGCAGTTTACAAGTTTTCACAATGTTTATCTCAAGCAAGCTGCTGAAGCACAGAGTGTGGTACTATAATCCACATAAAAAGCTTTAATTTTTCTCCTTTAACCAGTCCACTATTATTACTTGTCAATGATAAATACATTCATTAATGTGAAATTATTTTGAAAAATACTCAGGGAAATTGAATTAAAGTCTTGATCATTTTCTCCTCTCCTTCACACCTGCCCTGGATTTGCAGGAAAATGGACAAAGAAAATATGGTGGCCCTCCACCTGGTTGGGATGCTGCACCCCCTGAAAGGGGCTGTGAAATTTTTATTGGAAAACTTCCCCGAGACCTTTTTGAGGATGAGCTTATACCATTATGTGAAAAAGTGAGTCCAAATTTAACATTTAATTTTTCTTATCGTTCAAGGGAAAAATACTGTTCTCTTCACTTTGCTTTCATTCTCAGCCTTCTTGGTCAGTGGCTGTTTCCATTCCAATTACCATTCCTCAATTATAGACAAAGTTTCTAGTGATTATCTCTTTATAATCACTGCCTTGACCTAGCTCTTGTCCTGTTACTGACAGCTTGAATTGCTACAATTTCTAATGACTGTCAAATCTATATCTTGTTCCCCAATCTTTCCACTGTCATGCCATCTGACTACAAACTATCCATCAACAATAACCCTACAATAACCTGTCTAAAATTAGATATTGCTCCAACTTGAAATTTTAATACAGTTTTATAAAGTACAACATTTTCATTTTAAAAGAATGTGTATGTTTGACAAGGCTCAACATGTATCTATAATCCAGAATGAAATCTCCAGGTCTGAATTTTTTGTCTACCTAAATGCATCAAGAAGATTAAGAACATGGCTTTTCAGTTAAAGGAAGAATACAAAATTAAATTTTATTTTTAATAATTTACCAAGTAGTTTTTAGCAACAAGCACATTCCTGAAAAATTTAGTAAATATAAGAATTTAGCTCTCTGCCTGAATGCCAAAATCAATTTTGTGTGTGTGTGTTAACAGCCTCAGATTCAGAACTGCACCTAATTTTACACATACAATCCCTCTTGGCATGAGGACAAATGATGAGGACTTAATTCTGTAAGAATCTTATATACTGAATCTGAAAATGAGCATCAAGAAACACCTGAAACATAGAGATGTAACATGTTCAAACTATTTCCTAATGAGCCCAGAAGAAATAGGTGTTCATTACTGAATACGTGAGGGTGGGCTAGGGTAAGGCTGAGCTGAGAAGTGACCAACCACAAATGGCATGTGCTTAATGGCACTTCTCTCCAGACATGCGCCATCATATTTATTTGGGCAACCCTTCTTAAAGCAGCCAGTGATAGTAAATTGCTCAGTCTAGATTGCTGCAGGACAGTTGTGGAGTAGAAGGGAGTATTACATGGGCAAGTAGAGTCACTATAGCCAGGGGAATAGAGTGTTCTCCTGCTCTGGAGGCCCTAGCCCTGAGTTAGTAGTATTTAGGCTAGCATTTACATTCAGCCAGCAGACAGAGAAAATGACAAGCCTCCCAGATCATCCCCTGAAACATATCTGTGTTCATTTTGATGTCATGGCTGAGGAAAAAGACTGCTAAGAAGTTAGTTTGGCGAATGAGCATTCTTGGATTTTATTTTAAACATCAATGATAGAATAGGACCAACTGGAAATTAAACTATGGAGATTTCAGAGGACAATTTAGAGGAAATGGACATATACATCAAAAAATTGCACTTTTTTTGAGACAGTGTCTTGCTCTGTTTTCCAGGCTGGAGTGCAGTGGCACAATTATGGCTCATTACAGCCTCTATTGCCTGGGCTCAAGCAATTCTCCCACCTCCGCCTTCCAAGTAGCTGGGACTACAAGCACGTGCCACCACGCTCAGCTAATTTTTGTATTTTTTGTAGACTCAGGGTGTCACCATCTTGCCCAAACTGGTTTCAAATTCCCAGGGTTAAGCAATCCACCTGCCTTGGCCTCCCAAAATGCTGGAATTACAGGTGTAAGAAACTGTACTTATGATAAAATGTGTTTTCATGTCTCTAAGATGTTCCAGATAATTATGTGATAAAAGGTCATTTGCCCTACCAAAAACACATTCTGTTAACTCAGGCTGAAATGTCACTTGTACACATTTTATTTAACTTAACTTCTCTCATGAATCAGATAACTGATCTGAACCCACATGAAAATATGCAAACCATTCCACATGGGATGCAAATGCCAAATAGTACTGGCAGGAGGCAAACTTCAGAAAGCATTGTGTGTGTGTGTGTTTGTGTGTGTATCAGCACATGCACACATACATTCAGAAGTACAAACGTATAAATATAAATGTTCTATTTCTATTACTTGCAGATCGGTAAAATTTATGAAATGAGAATGATGATGGATTTTAATGGCAACAATAGAGGATATGCATTTGTAACATTTTCAAATAAAGTGGAAGCCAAGAATGCAATCAAGCAACTTAATAATTATGAAATTAGGTAAGCTCCGCCTCTTCTAGATTAAAAGTGAAACAAACAATGCACCTGTGTCTGTTTTTCTATCAAGTTTATCTAATATGGTGTATGCCAAAAAAAAAGCCAAGCCAGAAATGAAATAGATTAGTATTTTTCCTTGGCAAAAATAAATTTGATTAAATATTTATTAATATCAATACTATATGAATACCAAACTAAGTTCTATGAGTGTTCAAAGAAACAAAACTTAATAATTTGCCTGTTTCATAAATATATATTGGGCACTGTTCAAAATATTGGGAATATATCAAGGTATAATTTCCTACTTGCAGAGCAAATATATAAGATCACTCAAAATAGTATGAAAAAATCAAACCAGGGATGGGATAAAGTTGTGTGAGAAGGTGGCTACTCTAATTTGGTGTATTTAAGAAAATACTCTCTGGCAGAGTGAAACTTAATCTGAGACTTGAATGAAAAGAGCCAGTCATGACAGTCAGACCTTGGGAAGGTTATTTCAGGAAAGGAGAGAACATCAAGTATAAAGTTCCCGAAGTGAAAACAAGCGTGATATGTTTGAGGGGCAGAAAGCAAGCCCATGTGGCCGGAGAGGGTAAAGAGAGGAGGACTGAAAGCAATACAGTTGGAGAGCTGTGCACTGTGTGAGGAAGTGTAGATGAAGTACAGAAGTCTCTGTGGTGATGAATTTGAATTTTCTTCTAATAGAAGGGAGGAAAGAGTTTTGATTACATTTATAGTTTTTTAAACATTCCTCTGCTGTTTGGTTGAGAATGTACTATAGCAGGTGAGGTTTGAAAGAGGACACCAGTTAGAAGGCTGCTGCAGTTGTCTAGATTTGGACAAGAGATGGTGGTAGTTGGATGAGGGGGTCCATGGTGGACAAGATAAGAAAGGGTGAGATCTGGGATATACACAAATCTGGCTAGAGATTGGATTTAGACTGAGAGAGAATTCAGAATTCAGGGAGGAAACCTAGGATTTTGGTCCGAGTATCTGTGAACTTGTTAGTGCCATTGCAATGGAAAAGACTGGAAGAACAGCAGAGGAAGGACCTTTTAGGGCACTTTACATTTGAGATGCACATTGAACATCCCAGGGGAGGTGTTGAGAAGGTGACTGTCTGCATTGTGGTGGAGTCAGGAGACAGGTCACAGTTGGAATATAAATTTGGGGGTCAGCTAAATATAGATAGCAATTAAGACCATGGGACTAGGGGAGAGTCCCATGTAATTGACTTTGTGCAACCAATTGCCCGTTTTGATAAACTGGAAATAAAACTGACATCATGAAATTGTCTGATTTCTAAAACCTTCACTTGGAGAGAGAACCGTCATAAATTCTTTCTTAAAGGAAGCCCTGAGCCACGTGAGAGGAAGATTAGTGCAGCAGTTAAAGAGCAATAGTTTTGGAGTCAGCCATGCTTCATTTGAGTGCCACCAAGTAACTTCACCATTCTAAGCCTCAATTTCCTCATCTATAAAATGGGGATACCATCTATTTCATAGGTTTATTGCTATAACAACTTTACAGTGCTTAACCCAGTGTTTGGAACACAGTGATAAGCCGACAAATGATAAAAAAAAAAAAATTGTATTTTAGCACAGTTCATCAATTCTAGATGCAGTTTTTTTTTTTACATCTTATCCCCTTCTGAAAGAGAACTGCACCTTAAAATGGGTAGATCTTAAATTTGATGAATGCAGAAAGAGCAGATTTACCACAATTATTTTTCTCTCACTTTCTATAGGACCAAAAGAAGTCATACATTATCCTTACAGTCTGTAAATCAATTAACTACTGGCTTATTTTATTAAAAATTCCTGGGCCGGACACAGTGACTCACGCCTGTAATCCTAGCACTTTGGGAGGCCAAGGCGGGCGGATCACCTGAGGTTGGGAGTTTGAGACCAGCCTGACCAACCTGGAGAAACCTCATCTCTACTAAAAATACAAAATTAGCAGGGCGTGGTGGCGCATGCCTGTAGTCCCAGCTACTCGGGAGGCAGGAGAATTGCTTGAACCTGGCAGGGTGGAGATTGCAGTGAGCCGAGATCACACCACTGCTCTCCAGCCTGGGCAAGAAGAGCGAAACTCTGTCTCAAAAAACAAACAAACAAACAACGCCTTAGCCACAGGAAGATCAGTTGGATTCGGCAACTACTTGTAGTCTAACCATTCAATTCCAAGGCTGGATTCTAGAAAAGAGTCTTGGAGAAAACATAAAGGAGGCTTCCCTCCCACAGGTGCCTCCATGGACCCAAAAGAGCTTTGTGTAGTATGTGGAGGATTGTTTGCAGTAGGAATCAGGAGATCTGGGGTCCAGCCCAGGTTCCTTTGGACGAATGCTTTAACCTCTTTGAGCATCACTTTTATCATTGGCACCTAAACACAGAGATGTTCTGAGCATTCACCATATGAAAGAATATATACTAAAGTGCTTTGAAAGGGCTACAAAACGCTACATTACAGTTTTATGATTTCCAGAATTGGAAGTTTCCCCCATTCCTTGGTCTTTCATGGAACCTTGACATCGTAACAGTAAGGGTTATTCCCAAAACGGTATTTGAGTTGAGATAGATATGGAATTGGCTATGTAGGGAATCAAGTGGATTTACTGTATCTACTTAACACATTGTTACCCAATAGGGCCTGTAAATACTTTTGGACAGCAGATAGGATATGAATAATGAATAAAATCAATCCACTACGGCCACTGATAATTAACAGTATCCTCTGTGAATTTTAGTGTCTTTGTCTGTGAAATAGAGATAAAAATATACCTACCTCATGAGGTGTTTTGAAAAATAAATGAGATAATATACATACATCTCAGTGCTGACACATACTAGGTGCTCTATGAATGTTTGCAGAAGGTTATGGTGGTGATGATGGAGGAGGAGAAGGGAAAAGAAAAGGAAAAATATGACAGAAATTAGGAAGAGAAAGTTACTGGCCAAAATTCCAGTCAAAGCACAGGTTGGATGCCAGAAGCAAGGTAAAGGCAGAGTGTTACCTTAAAAATTAGGGGGTAGAATAAACGGAATAAGACAAGCCAGAATAAACACCCCATAGACAACCTCACCTACTTGCACTCTGCCTTGGGTCAGTCCTGCCAGGGAAAGAACTTTTGTTGCAGAGAAGAAACCTTCAATTTGCTTTTATCCACCATTTCTCACCCACCTATCATTATATCAGCTTCTACTTCATCAGATATTCACTGATCGTCATCTAAATGTCTGGCTTCTAGAGACATTAAAGTTGTGGCCTCAGCTTTTGAAAGGAGATGGCTCTTTGTCTCCAAATAATTCCGGGAAAGGTGCCTGACAAACCACAACCATTTAAAAATAAAATATGGAATTCTAGGCTCCTCCTGCTGGTAACTGATATATGACCAGCCCCCTAACTATCAAAAATAATATAATTTCTAAATACATTAATACTGTGGAAAACAAGGTTTTGGTGTTTTCTTTTTTAAGTAAAGTTTAAAAAAAAACTTGGAAGATTATTTTTTCAACCCTTCCCTCACCTTGAGAACCACACTCCTGGCACAATTCTTACTAGACTGAGATGGACCTGTCACAGATCTGACACACGGTCCTTGGTTCTTCAGCAAAGCGTAGGAGACAGCTAGGACAGTGGCCTAACCCTGGTCAGAAAACCTGCCACACAACCAAGAGCCATTCGCTCCATGGATATCAGACCAATCGCCCACTCACCTGGCTGAGAGCTTTTATTCATGGCAAATGGGTCGTTTCTGCTAAGCATACTTCACCCATTTTTAATAACTTAGTGTTATTACAAAAGTCATATAGCCTAATATGTAACACATGGAAAACATCAAAAAGCATAAAGTAATAAAAGTTAAAACCATTTCTCCGCAACTCCATTGCCCCAAAATAACCACTATGTTGATATTTTATTGTCTTTCCAGATTTTTCTAAACATTTTTAATCAAAATGGCCTTCACATATACTTATTTTATAGCCTTTTAAAGCCTAGCAGCCAATTGTGAACTGTTTTTTTAAACCAATATATATTCTTCTACGTTACTCTTTTTAACGACTGCAGAGCGTGCAATGGTATGAATGCCTGTCTTTTGTTTACCAGTGATTCTCAATCAGGAGCAGTACTGTCCACCCAAGGGGGCATTTAGAAAGGTGGGGAGGCACTTTTGAATGATCAGATTGGTCACTATTGGCATGTAGTACGCAAGAACTAGAGATGGTAAACGTACTACAGTATGCAATGAGAAAATGTCCAATCCAAAGCCAGTAACATCTCAGTTGAGAGACATTAAACCAGTTCTTTACCGTGAGGTATTTTGCTCATTTCCAATTTGGGGGAGATTTTAAAGAGCAGTAATAAATATCCTTAAACATAAATTCTAGGGCTCACTTTTATTTTCCAGGGACATATTCCCAGAAGATACTTTATTTGGTCAAAGGTTGTGCACACTTAAGACTTTTGATACATTTTGCCAAATGTTCTCCAGAATAGTTTAATCCATGTGTACTCTGCCAGTGAAGGTGTACATACCTCAACTTGCTAAGAAGCAACTCTGTACAGTGGAAGAAACAGGAACTGAGATCCCACAGCTAGGTTTCATTCCTTAAAATCTATAACATTTTAAGCAAGTCTTTTTATTTCTTGGAGTTTCAAGTTCATCTGTAAATGGAAATAACTTCTACTCTGCCGATCTCACAGTCTTTTTGTGTGGGGCAGATAAGGTCATATGTGAAAATGTGTTCAAGTATAAAAGACTGTTTTTAACAGAGATCACATCAGAACAGCTTTTCTCTTTGGCTACAAAAGAAAAGGAATGTCAGGTGTTGCAAACTCAAGCGACTGCAGGGCCAGGCAGGTGGCTTCAGTAACCTGGGTTAGGTGTAGGGACCTCAGTGTTGGGGATGCTTCAGGGAGCGGTGAGGATTGACAACTCTTGAATCCACATCTAGCCTAAAGAAAGCAGATGCTATGCAGCCATGAAAAAGGATGAGTTCATGTCCTTTGTAGGGACATGGATGAAACTGGAAACCATCATTCTCAGCAAACTATCGCAAGGACAAAAAACCAAACACTGCATGTTCTCACTCATAGGTGGGAATTGAACAATGAGAACACTTGGACACAGGAAGGGGAACATTACACACCAGGGCCTGTTGTGGGGTGGGGGGAGGGGGGAGGGATAGCATTAGGAGATATACCTAATGCAAATGACGAGTTAATGGGTGCAGCACACCAACATGGCACATGTATACATATGTAACAAACCTGCATGTTGTGCACATGTACCCTAGAACTTAAAGTAAAATAAAATAAAAAAAGAAAGCAGATGCTACTCAGCTTCAGATAACTTTTTTGTTTGAAAATGTAGAGCACATGTTGACACATCTAATAATCTTGCAAAAGAAGCCACAACTCTCCAAAAATGGTTTCAACACTATGAACCCAAACATCCCACATCTTCAGGCAACATTTGGCCCACAGCCATACATTTTCAACCTGAATCCTACAAGGATTCTCATCAATCAAAATCCCTGCTCTTTTTGCAGAAATGGGCGCCTCTTAGGGGTTTGTGCCAGTGTGGACAACTGCCGATTATTTGTTGGGGGCATCCCAAAAACCAAAAAGAGAGAAGAAATCTTATCGGAGATGAAAAAGGTTACTGAAGGTGTTGTCGATGTCATCGTCTACCCAAGCGCTGCAGATAAAACCAAAAACCGAGGCTTTGCCTTCGTGGAGTATGAGAGTCATCGAGCAGCTGCCATGGCGAGGAGGAAACTGCTA
The DNA here is from genome assembly GCF_000001405.40 of Homo sapiens. Lineage (NCBI taxonomy): Eukaryota > Metazoa > Chordata > Mammalia > Primates > Hominidae > Homo > Homo sapiens. Next base: position 50,836,077 of record NC_000010.11, on the reverse strand, counting down.
CCAGGTTAGCAATCCCCTCCTCAAAGATGAGACTTCTCTGCCTATCCTGCCTGCCTCCGCAAAGAAAATAAGCATTTTTAATTTTTTTTGGCTATCTTTCATTACGCTGTATTTTAAATTTTTTATCCTTCTTCACTGTCTCACAGTTGATTCCATTCCCTGAAGTTTTCAGACTCAGTTTTGAAAAATATTCATTCTGTGCATTGAGGCTAATTTACATGCACTAAAGAAACCCAGAACTTTAAGTACAGCAATCCTTTGATGAATAAAGAGTCTTCTTAAAATTAAGTATATCAATCACAGTTACTTTTGTGTATAGATTTTGTTACCAGGCTTATTAGAATTAGGGTATATTCTCCATTACAGTGTAGAAATAAAAACCTCAAGTGATACCTTATTCCAATGACAACTAGGTGACATACTTTCATTATGACTCCCTGTTGTCTAATAATTTCTGTCTAATTTGAGAGAAGAGAGATAAAAGCTCTCCTTAGAAAGCCACCTTTATTTGTTAGTTATTACAACCACAGGATAGATCCCATTTGGTGAATAACTATCAAATTCTCTATCCACCCCAACACTGCCTCGGTCAGATCAACTTAGGAAAATTTTTTACAGTTCTTGGCTCATTCTAAAACATTTTCTACAACTTACACAGGTTTTTAAATGAATACTAAAATAAGAGGATTTCAAAAATGACAGACTGGACACACTGGAATGAACTTTTCTCATGAAAATTATGGGAGAGCCACCAGAATTCAAAACAAAACAACCACAACAAAGATGTCTACATTTATGTTGCCTTTGTAAACACTCTTCAAAACAAACCAATACTAGATCAGCCCCCTAGATATCTTCAAAACTAGGAGACAGTTTCTGGCTTGGGGAAGATCTTTCAATAATATCTTCATGAAGGCAACTTAAAGGGAAAAAAAATGAGACAGTCCCAAAGGTTGCTGAATCTTTTAGAGAAGTAGATATTTTTAATGTTGAATCTTTCATTCACAACTTCTTCCCTCTTCACTGGCCAGCATTTGGTCAAGTCATCTAAATCACAGGTCCATAGATAGACTCACTAAGACTCCTCATGGGGGCATACCTTTTGGTGACCTGGACGTAATATTTTGCTATCTGCTTCAATTCTTCTTTCTTCTTCAACATCGACAACTGTACCATTGAAAAGTCTTTTGTATCCATCCTGTTCTTAGGCCACCACTGAAGTCTAAACACACATATTCTAAACCTTATGTAATTTTTTTCAAGATCTAATTATTCTCCCAGCTCTGCTTTCTCTTCCATGTGCCCCACCCTCCGACTTCTCCATCCTGAACATTACCACCAGATTAATGTTTCCAAAATATCCTATTATCCTTTCAACACCTTCTTGCAAATAGTAGGAATTCAATCTCTATCTATAGGCTGAATGATGTCTGTCACTAACTGGCCAGTTCAAAAATATTCATAACTCCTTGCTGTGTGTAAGAACTAAATATGTGATTTCATTATTCAATACCTTTTATTCATTTCCTGGTCTTTTATGACCATATTTGCTACCTTCTATTTCCCAATAAAAACTCTTCCTTCTATCAGGACAGACACCTCAATGACCTAGACACTTCCATGCTTATGTCTGTCTCGTTTATTCCTAATGCTATATCCTCTACTAGGAATACCTGCCCCTCCGTCACTTGTGACATTCACCCCAGCCCAGCCAGCACCTTCTTGAGAAACCTACCTCCAGTATTCCAGCCCGAATTAGTCACTTTCCTCCCTCAATGCAGGAAGCCATTCATTATCTGTAAAAACAGATATGTGAAATAATTTGGGGTGTGGGGGAGTAGGACAGTGAAAGAAGGTCCAAAACAAGTGAAAGACAGTTTCCAGGGTCAAGACAATCCAGTAATCCCAGAGAAGCTCCACCTCCTGAAAGCTTCCCTATCTCTTCAGGGAGAATGGCACATTGGCCCACCGAAGGAACTCCTTTTTCTAAGTCAAGCAGACTAGCTAGCCAGGTCCTATCAGATAAGCTTCAGAAATTTTCAAGCACTTCATTAAGCTTCCACCCACAGTCCTGACTTTTCCTTGTGGATTCTCTGTCCAGGATATGCCATAGGGAGGCTGCCTCCCCTCCCCGTCCACAACTCATATTCACTATGATCCAATGCAACCCCCTTACCTATGGCCCTTTGAGCCAGTCTCAGGTGGATTTCACTCAGCTGGATTTTAGTCAGCAACTAACTCATCAGCAAACTAACAAGATGAGGCACAGTGGTGAGTAAGCCAGCCAGAGCAAACTTCTTCACCTCTAATGAGATCTCAGAACAAAACCTATCACCCATTTGGATCACTCTACCTGTTACCCCATTGCAGACTCACCCACAACAAAGGAATTCTTTAATTGCCAACCCTTTGAGAACCTAGTTTAAAAGAACAAGGAGACTGTTGAGAAAAATGATAAGTGAAGACAACAAGAAACTTTTCTTTCTTAATTGACCCAGACTTGGAGACAGAGAGACAATAGTTGTCTAAAGGGATGTAACTGCTCCTCAGTCACTTACCTCCTCTCTAAACAGTGGCAGTTCCCCCTTGAGAAATCTCACCTTTATTGAGCTCTTTACAGAACAAAGTTGCTGCATCCCACTCAGAAACTAGAAAGGTGTTCTAAGAATGCTCTGAAGAAAAGTCCTGGCAGTGATTCTCAATGTCAGGCTGCATCAGCATCACCTGGAGGGCTTGTTATAGCACAGATTGCTAGATCCCACCGCCAGAGTTCTTGATTCAGTAGGTCTGGTGTCAGGCCAGGTAATTCGCATTTACAACAAGCTCCCAGGATGCTACTACTCCCAGGACTGCACATTTGAAAACCCATGATTTGAATCAATGATTTTCCATCCTAGGCTGCACATTGGAATTACCTGATGTTTTCAAACAATGTGAGTACCCATGTCAGCCTCTAATCAATTGAATCTGCATCACTGGAATATAAAGTTAGGGAACTGGTGTTTTAAGTTTTCCAGATGATTCTATTCTTCAGTCAAATTTTGTGATTCACAGCTAAATCTATCAGCTAATGATACTGGGTAATCATCTTCATGGCATGTAAATAGGAATACCTGGGAACTGCTCAGTCAGTAAATATTTATTAAGCATCTAGAACACATATTGCTCCCTTCTGAATGACATGAGAGATTCTAAAAATAAAAAAAAAAACATAGTACCTAACCATTGCACTCAAAGAGTGCATATTCTGAGAAAACTATACATACACAAAAACAGGAAAAATTATTAAGAGGAGAGTGTATTGTTAAATCATAATTTAAAAGTTATTAAGTCTTCTCTGCATCATCTTTTCCTGACCTCACAACAATAGTAGGTTGTAGATAAGGAAACTGATGTTAGAAAGGATATGTTTTCTAGCCAGGATGATTGTTCTGACATTTGAACTTGTCTTACTTCTAGCTCATGCTCTCAAATCACTCTGTAACACTCACTTTCACCAGAGGCCTTCACAAGGATGTTGGTGGAAATCACTGCTTCCCATATTTACTCTCATTTCTGTTCCCTTAGCCTTATGCAGCTCTTCGTGGTCCTAGGCTGAGAAGACTAAAGCTAGAGCAGTAGTACTCAACTGTGGCTGCATTTTAGAATTAACTAAGCTACTTTTAAAACTCCTGAGATCCAGCCCACTTATATCAGAATTGGGAAGGGTAGGTAGTCCAGAGGTCAGTAACGAGCTGGTAAATCTTTAACAGCCAGCTCCCAGAGGAAAAAACAAAAGCCCTGATTTGTAGCATTTGCCAGTTTCCATGGTATTAACACTCCCACTGTGGCTGATTTCAGGCTACCAATGCGACTTTAACTGGCTCACAAAATTCTGATACTTTCTTTATCTATTTATCTGTCAATGAACATTTAGGTTGATTCCATACCATGGTAATTGTGAATAATGCTTCAATAAACATGGGAATGCAGGAATCTCTTTAACATAATGATTTCATTTGGGGTGAATACATACCCAGTATGGTGATTGCGGGATCATATGGTAGCTCTATTTTTATTTTTTTGAGGAACCTGCATACTGTTTTCCATAATGGCTCTACCAACTTACATTCCCATCAACAGTATGCAAGTATTCTCATTTCTCCAAATCCTTGCCAACATCATCTTTGATCTTTTTGATAATGGCCATTCTACCAGGTGTGAGGTGATAACTCATTTTAGTTTTGATTTATATTTGCCTGATGATTAGAGATGTTAAGCATTTTTTCATATACCTGTTGGCGATTTATATTTCTTCTTTTGAGATATGTCTATTCAAATCCATTGCCCTGTTTTTGTTTTTTATTTTTGAGACGGAGTTTCACTCTTATTGCCCAGGCTAGAGTGCAATGGCATGATCTTGGCTCACTGCAACCTCTGCCTCCCGGGTTCAAGTGATTCTCCTGCCTCAGCCTCCTGAGTAGCTGGGATTACAGGCATGTGCCACCACGCCTGGCTAACTTTGTATTTTTAGTAGAGATGGGGTTTCTCCATGTTGGTCAGGCTGGTCTCGAACTACTGACCTCAGATGATCTGCCAGCCTTGGCCTCCCAAAGTGCTGGGATTACAGGTGTGAGCCACCACGCCCGGCCTTTTGCCCATTTTTAATTGGGTTATCTGTTTTCCTACTATTGATTGTTTGAGTTCTCTATATATTTGGGATATTAACTCCTTATCAAATGTATGCTTTGTAAATATTTTTTTCCCATTCCTTAGGTTATCTCTTCACTCCATTGATTGTTTCCTTTGCTGTGCGGAAAGTTTAGTTTGATGCAATCCCATTCATCTATTTTTGCTTTTGTTGTCTGTGCTTTGGGGGTTATAGCCAAAAAATAACTGCCCAGACCAATGTCAAGAAACTTTCCCTTATGTTTCTTTCTAGTAGTTTTACTGTTTCCAGTCTTACATTTAAGTCTTTATTCCATTTTAACTTGGCTTATGTGTATATTGTAAGATAAGGGTCCCATCTCATTCTTTTGCATATGGATATCCAATTTTCCTTACACCATTTGTTGAAGAGGCTGTTCCTTCTCCATTGTGTGTTCTTGGCACCTTTGTCAAAGATCAATTGGCCATAAATGTGTGGATTTACTTCTGGACTCTATTTTGTTTCATTGGCCTAAATGTCTGTTTTTATGCCAGTATCATACTATTTTGATTACTATAGCTTTGCAGTATATTTTGAGATCAAGTAGTGTGATGACCCCAGCTTTGTTCTTTTGGTTCAGATTTCTTTGGCTAGGGTCTTTTGTGGCCCCATACAAATTTTAGAATTGTATTTTCTATTTCTGTGAAAAACATCACTGGAATTTCGATAGAGACTGCATTGAATCTGTAGATTGCTCTGAGTAGCGTGGACTTTATAACAATAATAATGCCTCCAATCCATGAACATAGGATATTTTTCCATTTATTTGTTTCTTCTTTAATTTTTTATCAATATTTTACAGTTTTAAGTATACAGATCTTTCATTTTGTTGGTTAAATTTATTTCTAAGTATTTTTGGGGGGATGATACTATAAATGAGATTGTTTTCTTGATTTCTGTTTCAGTTTTCTTGATTTCTTGTTGTTAGTGTATAGAAAGGCTACTTATTTATGTATGTTAGTTTTGTATTTTACAGCTATACTGAGCTTGTTTATTAGTTACAATGGAATATTAGTCAATCTTTACAAAGAAGGAAATTCTGTCATTTGCAACAACATGGATGAAACTGGAGGACATTATATTAAGTGAAATAAGCCAGACACAGAAAGACAAATATTGCATAATCTCACTTATATGTGGAATCTAAAAAGTTGAATTCATATAAGCAGAGTGTAGAATGGTGGTTACCAGGGCTGGGGGCAGAGGTATGGAGAGATATTGGTCAAACGATACAAAGTTTCCATTAAAATGAATAATTTCTGCAAATCTATTGTATAATATGACTATAGTTAATGTATTTGTATACTTGAAAATTGGTAAGAGAGTAGATCTTAAATGTTATCACCACCAAAAAAAAGTATTGAGGTGATGCATATGTTAATTAGCTTCATTTAATCATTTTACATGTATACATGTATCAAAACATCATGTTGTATACCACAAATAGATGCAATTTTGATTGATCAATTATACCTTTAAAAAGATGGGAAGGAAAAATGCAAAAATTTAATCATCTATTTTTGCAAGTAGATAAGAACTGGCTCTAGTACATCACTGGGTGGAACCCAGGTTTCATTATTTTTTAAACCTCACCCAATATGGAGCCAAGGCTGAGAACCACTGAGCTACCAAAGCCAGAATTATGTGGGAGCCTTGGGGATCTTGGAATAATACAAACAAAAAAAGTCTATGTAAAGCATACAAGGGGAAAGGAAGAGAGTAATGAAGAAAACTATCCCCTGAAATGCAACACAGAACAAGATGGTCACAGCTAGGGTAACAAGAGCCAGCTTCTCCAGGGTCAGTTATCTCTTAAGACATGCCTATTCTTCATTTGGGTTTTAGAATGCCAGGGCCACGGATGCTTTTACTGACTGCTTTTCAAGGAATATAAAGATGCATTCTTATTGAAAATAATTGCTTCCTATGTGTAGTAATTAAACAAATAAACCCTTACCAATACTGAGAGTTCCTGATTTTGTTCTCTCAAGCTTTGTATTGCTTACGGGATAAAGTTTATTCCCAAATAACGAATAAAAAACAAACTAGATTTCCAATCAAATTTAGAACTTGGGTTGACTCTCACTCTCCTCTCATCACTTCAACAAGATCTGCACTGCGTAGGGGTATAGGAGCAGAGTCACCAAAAAACAAAACAAAACAAAACAACAACAAAAAAGGGGGAGGTGGTTAAGTAGAACAGGCCTGGGAAAGTTATCCTCTCTAAAGCTCATTTCCCATTCTGTAAAATTGGGAGTAATTCACCTCCCCACAGGGTTACTGTGAGAAGTAACTGAGATGGCACATGGGAAACAGATGGTACAGTACAAGACACTCAATAAAATGTGTTCATAGTAATACAAAAATATATGTAGCCATGGAGAACAACTACCCTTTACAGAAGAATTAAAATTCTCATTATAGACTCTTCCATTGCTTGTCATCTGTCTTCTTAATTAGGACTTTTTGAAAATGTCTCCAGATTCCCAATTTATTCATGTTGTGAAAGAGGATTAAGAGGGAACACAGCTGATCTAAGCCTTGACCAAGTGTGAGGGACAGAGAACAAATTAAGGATGCCTGAGTCCCACCCACCTTTGCCCAAACACCATTTTTTGAACATCTCAATTGTGGTACCTAGCCTAATTAACAACACAGATTCCAGCAGCAGTAAATGCTCTTCCTAGTAACCTTCTTAATGTTCTGTGGAGTCAGATTCTATATCTGGGCCCTAAATCCATAATTTTCCTATCTCCCTTGTGCTATCTTACCTTAAGTGACTACCTTCACCCAATGAGTGTTGTTCTAAGAGCCAAATGTGGCCTCTGCTGCCTCATTTCTGTTCAACCTCAAACCACGTCCTGGTTCCCTTTATAATCGATAGTTATAACAAGCCACCGGTCACACAGAACTCCCTTCTAATCAGCTACTCCACTTGGAATGTCTCTTAAGATCAACACTCACCAGTTTTAATGGTCTTCTTGCTCATTCAAGACCTCAAGGGTCAGGTCAATTTAAAAGACCATTGGTATAAATTGAGATGATGTTGTCCTGATTCCTACATAATTAATCATAATGGTGATCATTTTCAACAGGAAGAATTCAGTTATGGGGACATGGTATTGCAGTAGACTGGGCAGAGCCAGAAGTAGAAGTTGATGAAGATACAATGTCTTCAGTGAAAATCCTATATGTAAGAAATCTTATGCTGTCTACCTCTGAAGAGATGATTGAAAAGGAATTCAACAATATCAAACCAGGTAGGACATATATACAAGATTAGTTTTTCAAAACATTCTTTGTCCTGGTTTAGTCTTGGGAGGGTGTATGTGTCGAGGAATTTGTCCATTTCTTCTAGATTTCTAGTTTATTTGCATAGAGGTGTTTATAGTATTCTCTGACGGTAGTTTGTATTTCTGTGGGATCGGTGGCGATATCCCCTTTATCATTTTTTATTGTGCTTATTTGATTCTTCTCTCTTTTCTTCTTTATTAGTCTTGCTAGTGGTCTATCAATTTTGTTGATCTTTTAAAAAAAACAGCTCCTGGATTCACTGATTTTTTTGAAGGATTTTTGTGCCTCTATCTCATTCAGTTCTGCTCTGATCTTAGTTATTTCTTGCCTTCTGCTAGCTTTTGAATGTGTTTGCTCTTGCTTCTCTAGTTCTTTTAATTGTGATGTTAGGGTGTCAATTTTAGATCTTTCCTGCTTTCTCTTGTGGGCATTTAGTGCTATAAATTTCCCTCTACACATTGCTTTAAATGTGTTCCAGAGATTCTGGTATGTTATGTATGTCTTTGTTCTCATCGGTTTCAAAGAACATCTTTATTTCCACCTTCATTTCGTTGTGTACTCAGTAGTCATTCAGGAGCAGGCTGTTCAGTTTCCTTGTAGTTGAGTGGTTTGGGGTGAGTTTCTTAATCCTGAGTTCTAGTTTGATTGCACTGTGGTCTGAGAGACAGTTTGTTATAATTTCTGTTCTTTTACATTTGCTGAGGAGTGCTTTACTTCCAACTATGTGGTCAATTTTGGAATAAGTGTGATGTGGAGCTGAGAAGAATGTATATTCTGTTGATTTGGGGTGGAGAATTCTGTAGATGTCTATTAGGTCCGCTTGGTGCAGAGCTGAGTTCAATTCCTGAATATCCTTGTTAACTTTCTGTCTCGTTGATCTGTCTAATGTTGACAGTGGGGTGTTAAAGTCTCCCATTATTATTGTGTGGGAGTCTAAGTCTCTTTGTAGGTCTCTAAGGACTTGCTTTATGACTCTGGGTACTCCTGTATTGGGTGCATATATATTTAGGATAGTTAGCTCGTCTTGTTGAATTGATTCCTTTACCATTATGTAATGGCCTTCTTTGTCTCTTTTGATCTTTGTTGGTTTAAAGTCTCTTTTATCAGAGACTAGGATTGCAACCCCTGCCTTTTTTTGTTTTCCATTTGCTTGGTAGATCTTCCTCCATCCATTTACTTTGAGCCTATGTGTGTCTCTGCATGTGAGATGGGTTTCCTGAATACAGCGCACTGATGAGTCTTGACTCTTTATCCAATTTGCCAGTCTGTGTCTTTTAATTGGAGCATTTAGCCCACTTACCTTTTAAGGTTAATATTGTTATGTGTAAATTTGATCCTGTCATTATGATGTTAGCTGGTTATTTTGCTCATTAGTTGATGCAGTTTCTTCCTAGCCTGGATGGTCTTTACAATTTGGCATGTTTTTGCAGTCGCTGGTACTGGTTATTCCTTTCCATGTTTAGCGCTTCCTTCAGGAGTTCTTGTAGGGCAGGCCTGGTAGTGACAAAATCTCTCAGAATTTGCTTGTCTGTAAAGTATTTTATTTCTCCTTTGCTTATGAAGCTTAGTTTGGCTGGATATGAAATTCTGGGTTGAAAATTATTTTCTTTAAGAATGTTGAATATTGGCCCCCACTCTCTCCTGGCTTGTCGAGTTTCTGCCGAGAGATCAAAACATTCTTTAAAAGCACCTATGCTTGAGATGACTTCCCATAACTTTAAATAGAAATGCTTTTATTTAGTTCATCTCATAATTCCATGCAGACCTCTCAAACTATGTTCCTAACTTTGGATTAGAAAATCAAGCCATGTGGTCCTACAACATTTATCAATATTATAATTGCATACTTATCTATGTGATTATTTAATGAATATCTATTTTCTTCACTAAACTATAAATTTCATGAGTTTTTCCCCTCTTATTGTTTCCTCCATCTTCAGACATTTAATCTCTGGGCCTGGGGTACAATGATTGCTCAATAAATATTTACTGTAATGAAGAATGCATGCCATAACCATAGGTCTGATGCAGGGTTTCTCAGCCTCACCACTATTGATATTTTGGAACAGATCATTCTTGGCTGTGGGGGTCTGTCCAGTGGATTGTAGGATGTTTAGCAGCATCCCAGGCCTGTCTCTGTTAGATACCAGTAGCAACCTCCAAGATGTGACAACGAAAAATGCCTTCAGACATTGCAAAATATACTCTACGGGTGGGCAAAATTGCCCCCAGTTGAGAACCACTGGCCTAATGGAATACACTTGTGACATAAGTAAAAAGGTGACAATCCTAGGAAACTGATTTGAGTGAAGAGGAAGGGAAAGGAATAGAGGGAAGGTGGAAGGGGATAGTTAGTTGCTACTCATCTTGTCAATACTTTTCAGTATCAATTCTAAGCCATCAGATTGACTCCCCATCTCTTTCTTCTCCATATAGGAGCTACAACACTGAGAGAGGTAGAGCATTTCAGGAAACAATATCCAAATTACCATTTCCCAAAAACAGTTCAGAACATTAATTCTACAATCTTTTGGTGGATGTTGCTGATAAAAGGGCTCCATGGTCAAATAAGCTTGTAAACACCAGATTCTGCAAAATTAAATGAATTTCTTCATTATGGAACTTATCAAAGTCTTTTGCCTTCTAACATGCTTTGAAATTCTCCAAGAAGCGATGCAGAAATCTTCATTTTTCAAGTTTCTGAAACATGACTGCTCTTTTTTGCCATATCATTTTGTGGGATTACTGTGTCTTTAAACACACTCTGGGCAGTAGTGGCTTAGGGTTATCATAGTAGTAATATCCTTTCATAACTGAGAATTTCCCAGTCTCCTGGCAAATTATCTAGGTTGTTAATAAGGGTGGGCCATGGTGCTGTCATGTTAAAGCTGCCTAAGAATATTCACTTGCACATACTCACATCGTCTGTTTCCAACTCTGGGTGCTACTTCAGATAGAACAGAATGATAAGCTGATGATTTGCTCTGAAGGACATTCAGGAAGGATGTCACTGCTCCATTTTGAAAGATTCACCAAAGATCTTTCTCCAGCCTCAGGGACTCTGCCTTCCCTGAAATATTAGTGTGAGGGTGTGGCTCCACACCAACAGCTGTGAATCCATGACTAAGCTAGAATCTGCAAATGATGGACCACCTTACTGTGTGCCAAGCATTGCAGTGGGCACTTTCACAGCATGTGTCATTTATTCATCACAACCCTATAATACAGGTTGCTTTATTCATTCCATTACTTTCTAGATAAGAAAAACAGGACCCAGAGTAGTTAAGTAGTTTGCCCAGGTTCACACAGCTAGCAGGTCGCAGATCCTGGATTTGAACTCAGGTCTGGTAAAGGGCATGTTCTTAAAAACTTTAATACTCTCATGCCGCCTCCTTATTCCATTCACTCACTCATTCATTCAACTGTCTTTCCTTCAGTAGCTCCTACATGCCAGGCACTGTGGAAGGAACAAACAAGTATGATGTGTGCATGGAAAAAGTTTAAGAAATTCCAGAAAAATACAGCTTTGACAGACTACTCTTGGAGTGCAGAGAAGACTTGTGTTTTGAAGCGACATCTAAGCTGAGATCTGAATGTTGATGCAGTTGTAGGCATAGGAACATTATGTGTGTATAAATATTGCCCACTATTCTCCCCTCATTCCATGTTGACTTTCTACCTTCCCAGAGTGAATAATACTTCTTATTTTTATCTAATTAAAACAGCACCTTTTTTTGCCAAGGGCTAGAATGAGAAACTACTAAAAGGCTGCTTCCTTTCCTAGTCCCTGATTATCAGCTTTCCCAGTCTGCGTATTGGCATATATTAAAGAGACATGTGTGCCCGGATCCTACTAATTATCATGAAAATAATGAACATCACATATCTCTCTCTTGCTCACTCTCTCACTTTCTCTTTCTTCTTGGGACTAAAGTGTGTCCAGCGATTTCAGGGCACAGTCTGCAGCTGGTGGCACAACTCTCAGGGCTATATAATGATGTATGGCTTGTTCTTCGTGGCCCTCTGCAAAAAAAAATATGAATTTCAGAACGTGAACAACTAGCAGACATCTGCTGCATTAAGAGGGAAAAGTCAGAGCTAACTAGTTTATCTTGGAAAGTATGTACTGTGCCAAGGCTATACTTATCTAGAAAAATTTCTGGAAACAAACAGAAAAATGACTCTAAAAATTCCATTTAAAGTTTAGGTCCCTCAGAGGAACCTACATATTACCTCAAAATATTTGACCACGTATCAGTTTAACCATGATGAACTTGAATAATATTATATTGCCACTGAGAGACACAAAAGATAATTAGAACAAAAATTGAGACCTGAAGATGGTTTGTTCTTCCCCACTGTAGCCTAAGGGTATCTGCTGAATTTCCAATTATAGTCATTCTACAAAATCTGATCTTCCTACAAGAGTTTAGCAGTATTAGAATCACCTGAAGGGCATGTTAAATCACTGATTGCTTGGCCCATCATGGGTGGGTTCAAGCATTTCCATTTCTATTAAGTTTCCAGGCAAAGTGGATTCTGCTGGTCAGGGCACCACACTTCGGGAACCATGACCCTCTGATAACCTTCCCTTTGGCATGCAGGTGTGTTTCTCCTCAGGTTTATGTGTTGCTGACAAGTTGATAAGAAACACAGCAATAATTTTCCAATTCCTTGCATCATGATTTCAGAGGATCTTTTTCTTCTTTGCTAATGGATGATTGAGTAATAATGATCACTCATATTCTATGGACTCACCCTCTGCCAAATGAGGATCAATTATTAAACAAACTCCTATGCACTAAAGAAGAAACATAATAAAATAAGCCATGTGGTGAATACTATTGTAGAGAAAACCAACTTTTATGACACAGACTCTAACTTTTTAACTTGTCTGTTTTATGAGGCTAAGTTTTTAAATATCAAATTTTCCAAAACCAGATGCATCTGGAAGTTATCGTCCAACAGTGTAAGATAATTTCAGATATCTGCAAACAGAATTTCAGAAAATCTAAATTCATTATCATCTCAAATGCCACTAACTGGTGTAAATGACAGAAGTTGGGATGTGAATTAACTGATAATATTCCCTTATTCCATGTGTATTTATAGAGTAGCTCCTGTGTCCAAGGCAGTAGGCAGGAACCAGGTGAAGATGATACCAAGAAGTCTCTGAAGAGGGTCCTGTTCTCAGGGAGATAACAGACCAGTGAGCCTAGGTGGAGAATGACATTGAAATATGAACCAAGCAAAGACTGGAAAGGTGAAGGTCATCATTGGCCAACGTCTTCCTTCTCAGTTACTAAAACAAGTCATGGGATTAAGTCATGATCATCACCCCATGTGACACTGAAAGGAATGAAGAGACTATATTGGATATTCAGTTAATTATATGTCTCATGCTTCATGGTCTCAGAGAGCTTTATTTATCCTTAGCCTGGCCAGATAATTTTGCTCTGTATAACCATTGCCATAAGAAGTCAAGGGTCGACTGTTGAAGGGAGTGAAAAGAGAAGTATCACAATGTCTTTAAATTGTCCTTATGTTACAGGCCGACTATCATTCCAAAGGAAGATAATTCTTAGTCATTGAACCACGTGGGAGAGTAAAAACTCTAATTACCTTTGTTACCTTGAATCTAAGAAGATAATGAAACTTTGATAAGGACAGAAAGGACTTCCCCCTCTTCTTTTCCCTGGCATAATGTCTCATCCTATGTTGTCTCCCGGCACTCTCAAGGTACACCCAAGTGAGTGTAGGGATTAAAGAAGATAATTGGCATGCTAAACTAATAGTGGTTAAACAAATTTCCACCTTACCTTCACTCTAAGCAAAAGGTCTATTTTTAAAATTGAGTAAGGAAAAACATTTTAAAAATATAACATCCAACTATCTCGGTACAACTATCTTTTTCATTTTTATATGTTGCCATCATGTTCAGCAGTTCCCTTACATAAAAATAGATAGTTGGTTTGTTTGGGTTTTCTACACAAATAATATAAATAAACTTTGCAAATATTTGTAAAATACCAAATATATCAATTAAAATATGAAAACCTCCTTCATTCTTCCCAACTTTTCTCCCCATTCCTGAAGTAACCTCTGTTAAGAGTTTGGTCTCTATCTTTTCAGTTCACTTTCTGTATGAGTGTATTTATATTTGTGTGCACATATATATGGTTTTGGATTATTAAAAACACAAATGCTGTAATATTGTACTTACTATTTTATAACTTTTTAAAAATTAACAATAGGTCTTGGGCCAGGCACGGTGGCTCATGCCTGTAATCTCAACATTTTGGCAGGCCGAGGTAGGCAGATCACCTGAGGTCGGGAGTTCGAGACCAGCCTGACCAACATGGTGAAACTCCTTCTCTACTAAAAATACAAAATTAGCCAGGCACATGGTGATGCATGCCTGTAATCCCAGCTACTCGGGAGGCTGAGGCAGAAGAATCGCTTGAACCAGGGAGGGGTGGGTTGCGGTGAGCTGAGATCACGCCATTGCACTCTAGCCTGGGCAACAAGAGCAAAACTCCGTCTGAAAAAAAAAAATAGGTCTCTAATCTTTCCATGTAACAACATACAGGTCTATTTTCTTTATAGACTCCTTCGTGTTGGTATAAATGCAGCGGATTTAATCACTCATGAAAATAGACATTAAATTGTTTTATTTTTGCTCTTTCAACAGTAGTGTAATTGATATCCTTATGCATGATCCTTGTACATGTGTGTGAGTGTTTCTGTAAGAGACATTACTCAAAGTAGAATAGTAGATATTTACATTGTTTCCAATCTTTAGCTATCATGACAGCAAGGCAGGCAACTTATCTTTGTTCCCAGATGTTCTTTCGGAAACAACTTTCTTTTTCTTCTTTTTGTTTTTTATTTAAAGATTATTGGATAAGGATATAGAGAATCCAGTTGTAGTTCCTCTCTGTGTGCACTCTAAATCTCAGTTCCCTTGTCAGAACTGTAGTTACCTAATATTTAAATTTTTAAAAGTAATTTAAAGTTAATTACATAAGACAAAAGAGATAAAGACATTTTGCTGGGGTGAAAAGCAAAAGTAATCACCTAAATATATGTTTGTAAAATGATCAATAATTGAGTTCAACTCAATTCAACAAGTATTTTACCATGCAAAATGTACTATCTTTTACATTACATAAAATGCAAAAGAAGATGGAATTCCCACCCTTAGACACCTTGTAATCTAGGAAGTGGAAGACACAAATCCATAACAAATTATAATAAGTCAGAATATAAATTTTATTTTAAAAACTGCAAAAAAAATCTTCTGTTGAATGTTCTTGATGAGATCCTTACTTAAATATGAGGTATCCATAAAAAAAATCAAATACTCTTTGCAGCTAGATGCTAAAATATATCACTTTCAAGGCTCTCTTAATTTTGTTAATGGGGCAACCTTCACTCTATTTTACAGGTGCTGTGGAGAGGGTGAAGAAAATTCGAGACTATGCTTTTGTGCACTTCAGTAACCGAGAAGATGCAGTTGAGGCTATGAAAGCTTTAAATGGCAAGGTAAGGTAGAAGAAAGAAAAAAATATGCAGATTACATCCAAGTTTGGTGTGGATATTACATCCAAAAGCACAGTCCTGCAAGCCTGTCTCACTCCAGCCTTCTCTGACATGGCTGCCTCAGTCCATTTAAGATGTACTAAAGAGAAATGATGGAAAATACAATGGAAGTTGGAGATGTACCTAATATATCCAACTTTACCTCTATTTGTTTTTTATAATTTGGACAAGTCACTGGCCCTCAATTTCCATGGAAAGAGGAGATTTAAGTAGATTATTTCAAGATGTTTTTCACAATTCCAGTTTTCTCTCATTACTTCAAAGAGATTATCATCATTTTAGTGCAGTATTTTAGAAGCTGATGAATTAAAAACATGTCAAGATAGCTGTTATTCTGCCTTCATAGTTTGATCTTCCACTTGGAAAGCTTAGAGTCTCTCACCTTGCCAAGAGTAGGGGCTGGGGAAGCTTCTATATCCTCACTACTGAGTTGTCTACAGAAAGCAATATAATATTTATATATCAAGCCAATAAACATTTAAAACCTTCTGTAGACCACTTATCATGCTAGGATACAAAGAGAATCAAAGATGTTTGACAAAGAGTTAAAAGTTGGTTGGAGGAATAAGACAACTACACAAACTCGTGCAAAGTATAGGCAAGTAAATATCATAAAGAGAGATAAACGTGGTGAGCAAGTTCAAAGGAAGAAGTGGGCTATAAAGAATAAAACATCTTCATGGATATGAGAAGATAATATTTAAGAGAAGCCACGAAAATTGGGTATAATTTCAAAAATCAAAATATGGAAAGACAGGAAGTCTTAGAGGCACAGAATTTGAGAAGAGCAAGACAAGATTGGAGAACAGGAAAATGTGGAGTAACTTGGCTGGAACATAATGCACGTGGGACTGTGTTACCTATCGGATCTGGCATCGGTCAGGGTCCCAAAAGAAAACAAATAGCAAAGGAATTAATTACAAAAGTGCGAGTGGGGACTAGGGAAATCAAAAAAGAGTGTCAGAATTTGGGGCTCACAGCATTCTGGAGTCAAAGGTACAAGGGGCTGGAGAATTAATAGAAATCCTGAAAGGGGAGAGAATTGTGTAGAGCAGATCTCTTTGCAAGAAGTTGCTGGGTGCAGTGGCTCGCACCTGTAATCTCAGCACTTTGGGAGGCTGAGGTAGAAGGATTGCTTGAGCCCAGGAGTGCAAGACCAGCCTGGACAAGATGGCAAGACCTCATCTCTACAAAAAATTAGCCGAGCATGGTAGCATGGACTACTACAGTAGTCCCAGCTACTCCGGGGGCTGAGGTGGGAGGATCTCTTGATCCCAGGAGGCTGAGGCTGCAGTGATCTATGATTGTGCCTTTGCACTCCAGCCTGGGCAACAGAGTGAGACCCCACCATTAAGGAAAGAAAGAAAAGAGAAAAGAAAGAAGCAGTGATTTTGGTCAAAGGACACAGTCAGCCCAAGGTGACCTCTCAAAGACGGGTCCAGCAGAATAAATGCCCCGAATTCACTGTTGTCTCTTCTCCAACCTCCTACCAGTGTTCCCCATTGGCTAAATGCAATCACAATCTAGAAGGCTAAAGAGGACCCCATGTAGAACAGCTTCCCAGAGCAGAGAGCAGGCTGGAGCTGGTAGGTGGTGAATTCCATAGGCAGTGGATCCAGATGGCAAAGGGAGGATCTCTTAGCCTAGGCCCTTCAGACACTGTGGAGCCTCTTGCATATTAGCTCCTCAGGGGCCCACTCAAACTCAAAAAGTTTGAATACTGGAGGGTGGGGTGGAGAAAGTATTCACTCTGAAATACAAAAAAGAAAACTGCAAAGAAAAACTAATGCATAAATACATGTCTATAAAGAAAAGCATTATTTCATCTTCATTGATGATCACATTTAGTATCATAAAAGTGTTATTACTTGGAAAACAATTTGTAAGTTAGATTTTCTCTATATGGAAACATTCCTGAGTATACATGATGATTGCTGGGAAGGAACAGCCATCACAAATTAAATGCCAAAAATTACGTTGGAATAATTACAATTGAAACATATTCAAATTCCCAATTTTTGCAGCTAGATATTTTTAGAGTAATTATTTACACATATTATTTAGTTAAATATATATTTAATATTATATTTGACTATAATGTGGTATGGAAAAATCAAAAGTAAGTTTTCCTAGGAACTATGAAGGTTTTTGAGCATATATAGAGATATTTATATTTAATTTGTTAGATGAAGTGAGATCTTGAAATTTTTTCTACGATAATTATCACATTTACAATTTAGGAAAATTAGCCTAGTAAGAACTGACTTTTTAATACAGGTGAGAGAAACATGTCATAGAAACTAGTTATAAAGCTATTATAGTCAACCAAATGGGACAAAATAAAGTCTTGAACTTAGGTAGGAATGGAATGTAGGAGACAGCCATATGCAGAACAGTAAGGGATAAATTCAAAGGACGCAGGAACTGATTGGAGATGGGGTGAAAAAGAAGGACAAGTCATTATAAGCTTCCAATATGGTAGGTTGTTATGAAAGTCAGGAAGGGAAGCCTATTCAGAGAGAAAAATGATGAATTGAGCTTCAGAATGATTATTCATTTATTCTTTTTGTAAGTCTATGAAGTGAAAGAAATTTTACTAAGCTTGGGCTATACAGATTAATAAGATATTGTCCTAGCTCTGGAAATATCTAAACCAAATAACTAAAATACAATATTGAATTTAAAATGCTTTTGGATGGGACAAAGGAAGGCAGAACAAAATTTGTTACAAGATATCTGAATTTGCCGCAAAGAATCATTCCATGCAAAACATCTCTTGATATGGAAGTGCCTATAAGCAGAGACCTATTTGGGTCTCTCATCTTCCTCAAGACTGGACTGAAGATATAAAGAATCTTATACCCAAGTTCCTCCCCTATTTTCAGTATGCCAGGTCTACTTTTTCTAATTACATCAACATCAATATAAGATTGTTGAATATCAGCTGGATTCTGTCTGTCTCTCAGAGTATTCCATCTAACTTATTTGACACTGGCTCCTGCTACTAAAAAGTAAGGTAAATACATAATACTGGGGACAAATTGACCAAGAGGCTGAACAAAATGGTCAGGATGACCATGAAGCACAAGCTTTGTCCAGCAGACTTCAATAATCCAGGAACCACTGAGTCACTGTTGAAATCAGAGGGTAAGGGTGCACACTCAGCTGCTGTGAATGGGAATTTCTGTAGAAACACTTTACATAAAAGTGTTCTTTATATAAAACAGAGGATCTTCACATTCTTATTCAAAAACAAAGCCACAAATGCTTTCAGACAATACTTTGTTCCTTTGATAATAAATACATCAATCTATCAAGAATTTCTTGAGAGCCATCATTGTTTATTGTGTAGGCAAGCAATACATAGAAGTTAGTAGCACACGTAGATCTACATACATCCATTATCTTTGACATCTGGAGCTGTTTGCAGTCTCAGAATTTGTGTCAGAATTCTTAAGGACAGGTTTTAAGCAGTGCATGATCTGAGAACCTCAATACTACTCTCACTCCCAACTACTCCTGACCCCTGTCATCCCTGTTTATTAGCTCCCAACTGTTCAGCAGATCAAAAGGTGGCTTCACAAGGAAGAACCTGTGGCAGGCAATGCAACAGCCTCCCAGATTCCTCTTCCTTTGGTAGAGCCACAGTATGTCTCTCTTCTCCAGTGAAAACTTACTTGTGTGGCTGCTCTAAGGAGCAAGACAGTTAGCGGGCTATCAGCTGGAAGGGCCTGATTTGGCTGCCCATGCTAAATGCTAATAATTGATAAGATTTCTTTATTGGTTTCCTTTCACCTTCATCTTATTGTGCAAGGTAATGGAGATTTTATACCATCCATAACAAACCTAAATTGTCTTGTAGTTATATAATTATATAAATATGTAATTTAAAACACATATATGACCTAATAAAAATATTACATAACTTTCTGTCTCAGTGACTGTAACCAGATTGTAAATTTATAATGAATATGTCAATGGACACTGGCCAATATGTCACTGTCAAACCTGTTGGCATCTTATGCAACTTACCAACAAAATGGCTCAGAAAAAGTTCAACTGGCATACAAAACAAACCTATAAAATGACAAGATACAATCAATAAACCTACAGCAAATAGTCTAACACTTAGAAGGAGTCATGTTATTAGGGCTCAGCCACACTTGGTTATCTTCATATCATCTCGCGTTGATATTTCTTTGCTCTCTACAACAGGTGCTGGATGGTTCCCCCATTGAAGTCACCCTAGCAAAACCAGTGGACAAGGACAGTTATGTTAGGTATACCCGAGGCACAGGTGGAAGGGGCACCATGCTGCAAGGAGAGTATACCTACTCTTTGGGCCAAGTTTATGATCCCACCACAACCTACCTTGGAGCTCCTGTCTTCTATGCCCCCCAGACCTATGCAGCAATTCCCAGTCTTCATTTCCCAGCCACCAAAGGACATCTCAGCAACAGAGCCATTATCCGAGCCCCTTCTGTTAGAGGTAACACCAGTCAGATCTTGCTTTAGAGTAATCCCAAGATTTCAAATGACTCAAATTGCAGTAGCCTTAGATACATTGGATGGGTCCACTTGGAGAAAAGCACTGAAAAATTGTTTATTAAAAATCAACTATTATATCAATAGTTTTCCTTTAATAGGAATCTTTTTCACATTACAACTGGTTATTGAAAAAACGTCATCAGAACATTGTGCAAATGAGCCTAGTGCACAGATTCAAACTTTGCATGGGCCCATAAAATTTGCACAAACTAAAACCTAGTTCTATAATTGTTAGCTTCTTCTATATCACTTGTCCACCACTGTGTAGTCATCTGTGGCTCATTACAACACTTCTGGAATAGACTAGTATAGTCCAGTGGAAACCAATTACCTCAAATAGCAAAACCCTTTCAAGGCATGTGTGTATTTGATGGTGACTCAGTGGCATTGTCTTAATATGTAAATCACAAATTATTATAAATATAATCTAACAGACATATGAGATGTTCTCATCTGACCTCCTCCAGGAAATATGTTATACTTTCTTAGAAGCCAAATAATTAAGGACATTACTATATTTCTTTAATACATGGAGAACTGAACAACAAATAGAAAAAAAACCCTCAATCAGACTGCTAATAAAACAATAAATATTTCACATTTGAATCCTGTAAGAATTCTAAATGTTTGAGCAGTTTTCCAAGCTCCATTTCTTCAAGAAAGCTAGAAGATAAAGAAAGCCTTTATTCTATTTCCAAGAAACTAGCTTGTCCCTGTCTTTTTGGCTCCTTCAGATGAGTTTTTCTAGGATGTGGCTAATGCCAACTGAATCCCAGTTCTATCCTCCAAATACGACATGAATCTGGGCAATTCGATAAACTGTGCATTTAAGTCTATTCTTGGGTTTGACTTAGAAGCAAAAAGGCACATCTAGATTACTGTGGAAACAATTATCTTACTATGTTTTACTACTTTTCAGTATAACTAAATTGATCATATTAGGAGCTCTAGTCTTCAACAGCCTTAAAAGTTTCATACTCATAATTACTTGCCCCAAAATTGTAATGCAAATGAAATAATCAAGATTTCCTTTAAGGTAACTTGTCTATGTGATAATAAATTATATCATTGCAACATTATGCATTTAGAATATAAAATCACCTCATTAACCAATCCATACATTAAATACAAATTGTCAACCAGTTATGATGTCGAAAAAAAACAAACTCCACTATAAGGGAAAAAATGCCTATCTTATAACAAGAAAGGAATCAATGAATGATATTCATGGATGAAGGGTAATCAATTTAATTTTTTATCTCTATGCCACCAATATAAAATCAAAGTAGTAACATGGCAAAACAAAAATCAAAAGGAATCTATGCATGAAACTCAATGGAAATTTAAGCCTCACATTGACCGAACATCAGAGAGCATGGTGAACCTAAAAGCATGCTTTCTAAATGTTTGTTTTACAATAAGTCATTGGAAGTGGGATAATTAGGGAAGCCAGAATTTATTTCTGATATACTGATCAGTGACAGTCTCTATGCAAGACTGATTTCAAAATAAGTGGTCGCATTATGTTGGAATGTTCTAATAAATACATTCCCAGTCTTTATTAGTCTGTATAAAATATCAAGGTTACCTAAAGACAAAAATTGCAAATTTTCTATCCCAAAATTTTTAAGTTGTTTGTGTACTTATCAATAGTATTGTATTTATCAATGGCATTGTTTTCTTCTGAAGGTAGTTTTTCAAAAAAGAGAGACACCTATGTTAAACCTTACCTTATGTTGAGTTTCATTACATTAGAATCCTAGAGTCTCCCACCCATCTTCAGGGCAATAATCAACGTGAATTGGGCTAACTTTTCCATTACAGTAAGATTCAGGGTGATTTTCTGGTGGTTTGATTCAGTTTAATGCCTTCTTACGTTCCTAGAAATTTACATGAATGTACCTGTAGGGGCTGCGGGAGTGAGAGGACTGGGCGGCCGTGGCTATTTGGCATACACAGGCCTGGGTCGAGGATACCAGGTCAAAGGAGACAAAAGAGAAGACAAACTCTATGACATTTTACCTGGGATGGAGCTCACCCCAATGAATCCTGTCACATTAAAACCCCAAGGAATTAAACTCGCTCCCCAGGTAGGTAATGTTATTCCAGAAATAGTTTCTTTAAGTTGTGCCAATGAGCATCATTCACTTTTATCAAATGATTTGACTTGATCCCTACTCAAGCTATGGGTTTTTTTCTTTTAATATATAAAGCATCCAATGAATGTCACAGTCTTTGAAGGAATGCTGGGCATCTGGTGCCATTATTCTATTATAGGTCCTTTCTCTTTTTTAAAAAATCATAAAGTCTAACACCTTGAACAATATTCCACTGAAATGCAAAGAATCTGAGAGCTATTAAGAATTATCAACCCATACCCGAAATGAGGCAAAGACCCCATCTCAGAATAAATGCCTATTGTATGTGAGCCAGGTTGGCTGGCAAATGAAGAGTATTATGGCAGTGCCCTGAATAGACCATTTAGGACATCTTTTCTTGGAAATACTGTATCTAAGAGAAAACTCCACCATGATATCTGGGTGAATTATTAACTATGAGATGTCATCAGTCATACCAAATTAACTCTTCCTCCATAGTTATATTTTGGCAGTGGCATTACAGAGAGTTTTTACTGTGTTCATTTAACAGTTCTAAGTTTCCACACTTCAACATTAACCTGTGGTTTTTATTATTGGAAAATTAAAAGCTATAAAAGTTTCAATATGGAAACTGACTCCCGGGGTTAAAAATAAAACAAAACAGAGTCTATGCTAACCCTGAGACTGTTCCCTGTGGGAGTGTGATAGGTGCTGATCTCTCTGAAATACATTTTGGCTGAATAATCAGAGTTACAGTTTGTGTATCTTGAAGGAAACTTCCCTATTCCCATGACAAAGGTGGGCTTATAGCCTCACATTTATGGAAGTAGCCCTTATAATTTCAATCCAGAAGAAAACTGGTTTTCTAAAAGCTCATCTTGGGTAATTTTTTAATGGGATTTCTGGCTTTCTTTTATGCACAAATTAGCTTATCTAAGGTTTCTGCTAGCCCCACCCAGGGAATTTTAAAAAAAATGCCTATCAGACTGCTAAACAGCAATCATTTGTTCACATAAGATTTAGTAAACTTCTCTTATGCACCATGTAGTGCGCTAGGTGCTGGAGATGTAGAAGTGAATATAACAAAATCCTTATCATGAAAAATTAGATGGCAATCCAGTGGGAAAAAACTGACACGTAAACATATAATGAAATCTGGAAGTGATATGATGAAGTTTGTTCAGAAAATATAAAAGCCACTCATCCAGTTTCTCTTAGGTTAAAACCCAAAACAAAAAACCTGATTAAAGTACTGGAATACTTAGAAATATTTTAAGAAAATAAAAAATAATAGTCGCAAATTCTGTATAATAATAGTTCCGAGAGCTGCAATAGTATGAAAAGAGATCTCTTCATTTTACATTAAACTCAAGTTAGAAATTCATCATGTCTTTTATTAGTATGTGAGTAACAATCTCTATCAATTAATAAAAGTTCTTTAATTTGTGTCTGACCTTCTACAACTATGGCTTAGAAATGAAGACCATGCCACCACCAACCAACACAGATGGGGCCTAAACAATCCCAAAGTAGAGTTGTGAACTTCCAGCCAGAAGCAGAGAGACAAGCCCTTTCCTGCAAAGTCAGCAGTGAGAGCTGGTGTTCCTTCCGCCCAGGTTTGCTCACCTGGCATAAACAAGCAGGCATAATATCTACCAGCAAAAGCTCCTTTATTATTGCCCAAGAACTGTAGAGAATGCTCTGAGGATTACAAGAGATCCTACACAACAAGAGTATTAAAAAGAAAATATCAATAGAAAAAACAGTAACAATCTACAAATTAATAAACTGGAAAATATCATGCTATTGCAGCTGGGTTAGTTAGCATAAATGAGGTAAGAAACCTCAGAGACACATCCTGAGACATTGTTCTGTCTTACAGAGTTATTTTCTCAGGCTTATGCCCTGCTTTCCACAGTCTACTGAATCTGCTGACTAACGAGAGCATCAGGACCTCTGGACAACCAAAAATGGCTTCAGAATAAAGAAACTATGAATCTTTAGAAAATATTCAGTTTGGAGTAATTACAGAAGAAAAAACATGCAGGAGGATGCTAAAAAGCATATTGTCATTAAGCAAAAAAACAAACAAACAAACAAAAAAGGCAGAAATAGTGTCTTACCAAACAAATAAAAACATTGCAACTGTCAACACCCATCTAGGAACACTCGATAAATACCAAGCATTAAACTTTTTAATTCTATTTTTATGAAATTGTGAGATTAAAACCCTATGACAAATGTCACGAAATAAAAATATATTCTTAGGCTATCATCTCTAAACCATTATAAACACAGAGATTGAGAGTAATAATGAGTAAATCTATACAAATCTATACACACAGTGTTGGAGCAACAATTTTTACAAAAACAAATATTCCAAACAAATCATAAAATTAAGCTTTTGGTAAAAAGTTACAGCTAATAGACTAAACTAAAAACATATTACAGTAAATGGTGTGAAAGTGATTTTATGAACTAATAGACCTAACATTTTAAATGGAGTTCAAATTGAGTTCATCTTAAATTTTATGAGTCATTAAATCATGTGGCATTTTATGTCTTCAGATACTAGCTTGAACTCTGAAAATTAGAGTTTAAAAACCTGAAAACTTGGGAAATAATGTGAATGTGTCATTTGAGGGGGAAATAACTTTTTTTATTCTTGTAGATATTAGAAGAGATTTGTCAGAAAAATAACTGGGGACAGCCAGTGTACCAGCTGCACTCTGCTATTGGACAAGACCAAAGACAGCTATTCTTGTACAAAATAACTATTCCTGCTCTAGCCAGCCAGAATCCTGCAATGTGCGTAACTTCTCCAAATTCCTTACCATTTTAGAGCAGGATACACTTATAAATTAAATGCATTTAGTCACCATCTAAACAAGATACTGAGGTCTACTACCTACTCATTTGTCATTCAATGCAAATATTGAGATGTGTAGTTGGGATGTGCCAGCCATGAAACCAGCATATAAAGGCCCCCAAATTTCATATACACAATGAAGGTTGTGTAGTATCACCAGCCAGTGGATAACAGTCAGTAGTGTAAAATGTAATAGAAATAAAAACTATAGCCCATTCTTGGCTGGATCACTTGAGGTCGGGAGTTTGAGACCAACCTGGCCAACATGGTGAAACCCCGTCTCTACTAAAAATACAAAAATTAGCCGGATGTAGTAGCCGGTACAGGCAGGCGCCTGTAGTCATAGTTACTCAGCAGGCGCCTGTAGTCATAGTTACTCAGCAGGCTGAGGCAGGAGAATCACTTGAACCTGAGAGGTGGAGTTTGCTTAGATTGTACCACTGCACTCCAACCTGGGCAATAGAGTGAGACTCCATTTCAAACAAACAAAGCTATAGCCCATTCTTTCATCTGTGCAGTGTTTAGGTTGAAGCATATGAAACTACCATTTTATACATAATAAGACAATGGCCCATCATTTAATTTTGGACCAAAGATATGACCTCTCTGTTAGTGGATATCACCTCCTGAATTTTACCTTGAGCCTGCATTTCTATATATTTTAGGAACAATTTGTTTCACTTGTGCTTTAGAAAAGCCATGTAGTGAATTACTTGTATGTCCCAGGAATGTCATCAACCACTGATGTTCTAGATCAATTTGTAAATATTTCTACATGCAACCTATATTTAGAAGCTTTAATAGCAAACAGAATGAAAAACACCCACTCAAAATACCACCATCCAGTCATCTTACAAAGCTGATAGTGCCTTAAGTTTTCACCTGACTCAGTTGTACCAGTTTAAAAATGCCTACCCTGACTGACTTGCTTTCCAGCCACCCTTTCACACCTCCAAAGCTGAGTGCCTTTGTGGATGAAGCAAAGACGTATGCAGCCGAATACACCCTGCAGACCCTGGGCATCCCCACTGATGGAGGCGATGGCACCATGGCTACTGCTGCTGCTGCTGCTACTGCTTTCCCAGGTATGGGAAAATTGTGCCAGAAATGGCGCCCTGCAGAGAGTATTTGGGAAACCCTTTTTTGGTACCATTGAATCACAGAAATGTTTGTGTACCCTACTTACAGCAATCTGACTTGCACAACCTTGGGACCAAAAAGAGTTTCCCAAATGAGTGACTCATTAAAACACGAGGCAAGAAAATCAAGCTGGGCAGCAGAGTGGGTTCTGGTCTCGGCTCAGCTTTAAACTGCTGTGTGATCTTGAATGAGTCAGTCTCTCTGAGTCTGGTTTGTTTTGGTTTTTACTTTTAGTACGAGAGTTTGAAACTACCTATAGATATATGATGTTTATTGGAGATCTTACTGTGTGCTAGGCACTCACTTAAATGGTCAGGAAGCGTTATAATATCTTAGTAATACTCATGATACCACCAAGAGTTAGGTTCCATCAGAAAGTCTGGTATACAAATGAAGAGCCCATATACAGAAAGATTAAGTAATTTGGCCACTGGCAATTAGCTTTTCAGCAATCTTTTCTCCCTCTCCAGTCTTCAATCTACTTTTATTAATTTGATTTCAAAAAAGATTTTTTAAAGTCAAAAATTTTGTGAGAGTGAGAGACAGACAGAGATCCTTTCAATATGTGAATAATCAGGACTCAACTCAATTTATTTGTTCTATAATTTTGGTCTGGGGCATATGCTGATTGCTTAAAGCAAAGCCTATCCGTGGATCAACAATGCCTTCAGAGGTCACATTTTAAAAGATTTGTCCCCATTTGTTATGTACCCACAACAAATGGTAATAATTAAAACTGAATCCTTTAGAGATTGAAGGGGACCAGGCAAGAAAGTTGTTTAGGAAATTTTTTCTCAGCTGAAAATTTTTTATCCTTTTTTTTTTTAGTAAAAGATTATTTTTATTAAAGAAATCTGTCATTTTTTACTTCTCATTGTGTCAGCGTGTGCCACATAAGTCCAAATTAGAGCTCTAAGTAGACCTAGAAACATGATATTCTTATTGATTAATTAATTCATATATTGGCCATGCGTAGGTGTGAAAAATTTTATATTCCTCACACCCACTGCACCTGGGGCTCCTTCTCAGTAGTGTTTTTTGGTTTTGGGGTTTTTTTTCTCAAAAGTTTTGAATATATCCTCCATTCTGGCCAGTGGGGCTAACATTAATGATGTTTCACATCTGAAAGTGACCTCAATTCTGGCTTTGTTTCTCTGTAAGAACATGGAGATGCTCTGTGGTGAGTCCCTCGGAGGTTACCAAGGTAACAGCTGACATTGCAGAGGGCAAGGTCCTTCCTGGGCAGTGTGGGGCCAGCAGCCAGTGCTTGCTTTCCACATAACAGGGTGTTTACATGTCCATTTACTCAGGATGCCTGCCAGGGCTTCTCAGTTCCTAGAGAAAGTTGAGCCCCTGTCTTACAGAAAGCTGCACCCCAAAGACACCTAACAAATGTACTATTAAACTAATGAGCCACTGTCAGAATTTTAAAGTTTGCTTTCACATTGGAAAGGATTTGCTTTTACCCAAGAATGTTTTATCTTATTCTCACTTCCACTGGCTTCTGTGAGAAGTTAAAAATATTTAGGGCATGAGTGTTGTCTTGGGAATGCCTAAGAATCTGAGAGCCTCTCTTATAACTTTGCTGTGGAGTCAAGCAAAGAATAATAGGCTCCAAGGGAAGAATCAGTTTGAAACCCAAACACCCTGGCACTTAACAAATTGACCAAGTTGAAAAAGAAAATTCAAAATCCCTAAAGGTAAAATCTGTGCCACAAACACATGCATGCATGTGTGCACACACTCACACAGTTACATTACTCACTTAGTTTAGAAATACTGTTTCCAAAACCATGAAAGTAACTGTTAACACATGTCTCCTATCCTTGGAAAATGGACCAAACTTCACTAGTGCATTAATCAGCATTACTGACCAAAATGAATGCACCAAGAGTGGATTCAATTTTTGTTCAAAATAATCCAACCAGCTTCCTGCCACCACTTTCTGAGAAGCCACTAGAAAAAAATCAATGTGTCTGGGGTTGGGCAGGCTTCTACTGCACATAAACTAAATGGGGTTTAAAACAACAATGAAAAATAGGTGCCCATTTGTACTTAAGTATACTTCTCTCTTTTTCTTGCTATCTTTTACAATTTCTGGATAATCTCAGAAATACTCAGGTTTTAAACTAAAACAATACAGAGAAATAATGCTTTAGATAGTAGCTAATATGCTCTCTTCTTCAAAAGTGAATGCTCATCCACTAGACACAATGCTAACATGAAAGCGCATAGATTATTTTTTTAATTCTCAGATACTTTGGTTCTCTGAGGCGGAGAACCAGCATCAAGGCCTCTGAATACAACAAGCACAGGCTTGATGAGGGGCTTGGGAGGTAAGAAGGTGCTTTTGCCATTCATAGTTACATGTAAATATGGACAGGTTAGGCATTTGCTTTTAAGGTATTATGGAAAAGCACACTTAACCTTTACAGTATTTCTCCTACTGATCTCCCAGTCTTTACACATCTTCTTGGGTAAAGGCAAATGTTTTAAATGTTTCATTTAGGCAGGTGTGGGGTTACAGGAGAACCAGTCCCACAGATCCCCACCTCCCCACATACCATGCCCAGCCAGCCCCTCAGTCACCTTTTCTCATTTATAAATTTGGAGACCCTCAAAACGCTAAAAATCACAAGCTTTAATCAACTCAGTATCCTGTTAAGTTTCTCTTTCTTGGACCCTATCCCAAGCATCTTTAATTCTCTTAAGTATAAAGTGATTCTGACACAGGTGGTTGACCCCACTTTAGGGAACATTGTCCTAGGACTGTTTAAATATCATTGAAAATCACTGAGTCCACATATTGTGTCCTTAAGGACACTTTTTAAAACATATATATTAACTTTTAGCTTTAAGCAATATGTTAAATGTTCGTATTTCTAAAAGAAGACAAATAAGCCAAAAGGGAGCAAATGTGAATTCCTTTCATCAAGTTTTCTCTGCCTCTTCCTCCAGGATATGCTGTCCCTAATGCAACTGCACCCGTGTCTGCAGCCCAGCTCAAGCAAGCGGTAACCCTTGGACAAGACTTAGCAGCATATACAACCTATGAGGTCTACCCAACTTTTGCAGTGACTGCCCGAGGGGATGGATATGGCACCTTCTGAAGATGCTTTTTTAAATTTAAGAATAAGACACACAAAACTCTATTAAAAAAAAAAAAGAAATAAACCTCTAACTCGGTCCCCAATGATCATAAATAATATGTTTCCTAAAGAAATGCCTTTCCAGAGACTGTATAGCTTATACCAATTATAGAATCATGAAGTAAGAACGTTATTCTGAAATGAAATCAAATGTTAAAGAGCCTTTTGTTTAACAGAAAGCTGGAGAGCCACTGCCCCAAAAGTTGTTCTTCCAGTCTTCCTGAGTGTTTGGGGAGTATGTTTACAAATCCTGCCAGGGTGAAGAGAGATCTTGTAGCTGGCAAGATTTGGGAGGGATGGAGCAGACCTGGGCAGTCAGTAATAATCAAGGGAAGCCAAGTAAACTCCAGAGTCTTACCTCTGGCTCACAGCTGCTTTTGTGATACACAAAGTCACAAAGAGGAAAAGGGAAGGGAGGAGGTTGCTTTTCAAAATGCATTCACCATGGCTCACTGTGTGGGGCATGATTGCAGGCCTGAGCTCATGAAAGACTGTCCAAGATTTTGTGGTTTCAACCTCTCTTCAGCCTGAAAATTCCATCCAGTCGATTTGTCACAGATCAGGATCTTCCTGTCCCCTGCAGCCCATGGGGACTTCCTAGAAATAGATATGATATGTTGTAGATGTGGTTAAAACAAATCCAGGCCCCATTGTTTATTCAGCTCATTAGTCCACACCTATTTTTCCCTAGAACTCCTACCTTTTCCAATAATCATGCCAGCATGAAATGACCTTTTCTACTTTAAAATTTTTTGACTTGTTCATATTGCTTGATTTTCATCATCTCAGACTCATTTTTCTCCTACCTAATATCATAAAAAAGTAAATCAGATATACAGAATATCATTTATGATACTTCTTCCTTTCAGCAAATTGACTGAAAAGTCATTTTAAAGAGAGAAGTGCAGATTTGCTCTCATTTCTTTGATATTGTTGCAGTATCCACCCCACCATCTAGCAATCAGAGATGCTTATATTAACTTGGGATTAGCTTTGCATTATCTAACCCATTTATTTTAAATCTGCCAGGAAATCCTCTAACTTTCCTTCCTTTTTGTTTCAGTAAGTATCAGGCAGCTTCACCATACCTGAGTCCTTTTGTCTTGAAGCTGCCACAGAAAAATCTTACAGCAATCATTGCTGATTAGAAACTGTTTCAGACAATCAGCATGGGTGTTATTTACCAAATTCCCCCCAGAGTCCTAGGCCTCTTCTCCAGAAATATCTGATGATGAAGTGAGGGGAGGGCAACGGTGCTACAAAACACGGAACAGAGGTAAAGAGAAGGCACTACTTTCTTGCCATACTTGTAAATGATTGCTTTGTTCAAACATAAATAATCTTAAGTCCAACACCAAATACCTGTTACTCCTACATCAATCTCATTAGTGGTTTAAGACACAGTACTAGAATTTTCATTTTTTAAAATCCCTTGGCCCTTAAAAAAATTTACAGAACACAAAGGAAAACATAAACACAAAGACATGGAAAATTTTGTCAACTCCTTAATGGAATTCTGTGATCAAAAAGCAGGCCAGATTCTAATCAAAATCAGGTAAATTTTAATCACAATCAGAAGTACTTGTAACATTTCAGTTGTCCTAACTCCAATGAGATAACAAAGCCTCCAAGGCTACAGCTGAAACTCTGAAAGGCCCTGTGCTTTCTACTTTACATTTAGCGTCTAATATTTCCTAGGACAGTAGTTCCCAAAGTAGGCTGTACATTAGAATCTCCTGGAGAGCTTTTTAAATGCTAATGCCAATAACATATCTCATAAAATTTACACTAGAATTTCCTTGGATGGGTGCCTGGCATCAGTATTTTTTAATGATCCCTAGGTGATTTCAATGTGCACCTAGGTTTGGGAATTGCTATATTCTTGTATTTATACTCTATCTCTTTATTTCTTTTCCTTTTTATTTCACTTTTAGTAAATAGAAAAATGCAATTAAAAAATCATCTAAGTTAAGACAAATAGCCAAATCATATTTATCCCATAAATAGTATGAATTTAAATGTAACTTACGTAGGCTTCAAACTAACTCTAAAAATGAGAAAGTAAAACAATCTTGTCCTAAAACAATTCTTAGATCCAAATTTACACTCCCCTACAGATCTGCTTTTATTCTCAAAGACAGTGATTACATTGACATAACAAATGTCCATTGGGGCAGGCAAATTTCTACTGAGTCTAAAAAGCATTCCAAATTCTAGGAGCAAAAGTTCTGATTTTCCTTAAAATCTTTGCAAATAAACAGCAAAGGGTATTCTGGATGTCTTGTCAATGCAAATTAGGTTTGATTTAGAGAAGTTTTAAATTTAATCGCAATGAAAAGATTAGTTAATACATGAATCTTTTTATGAGAAAAAATCATTATTCTGGATAAAGTCATAATTGTTTGTTTACAATATTAAGAGCAGACACCTAAACATACAATAATACCAAAGTATTGAGAAAATTACCACTGGAACACCATCTCAAGTTATCACACCATTTACCTCTTTAGAGCCAGTTTTGTATAAGTAGGTAGAAGTGGTTTTGGTTTTTTTGCTAAAATTTTACTTTGTTTTAGTAATATCTAGGGAATACTTTGAATTCCATTAAAATACCTTCATAGAAAGTGTTAATGTGTCTACCATGCCATATGTTTATTTTTACTTTCCCCAAGTTAGGTAGATAGAGCAAGTCCTGCTACCATAAGTTTAAAATTATTAAGACAACGGGCTTTTTTAAATTGCTGGTAGAACCAAAGGCTAATTTTGCATAGGTTTATATTTTTAGACTTAAGAAATTAGCACCTATATAATACCTTCATACCTTCTGCATCACTATCAATTTTTCTGTAATTTCTTATTTGAATGCTTCCTAATTCTTTACAGAAAAAATTAAAATTTGTCACCCAACCAGGTGATAATAACAAAACAATAATTTAGGAACATCCAGTAAATTTGAATTAGTTCTCTAAATTTTGGTAATTAATAGCTTATTGATAATTAAAATCAGCCTAATGTTGCTTAAGTAGGAGGAAATTGATCAGCAATGGGATTGGGTATCTATTTTCTTTCCTATAAAAGTGCTGCCTCTTCTCAAATTGCTTTATTTCTCTCCCACTGCATTAGTATATCTAGAACAGCACCTTCAACTGCAACAAAATATAATTCTCCTAGATGACTAGGATATCCTCCAATCTGGTATCATGCCAAACAACACTATGTTTGGGGAACAGCACCCGAAATGCTGCTAAAAAGCTACCTCATGTCAAGAAAATATGGATTTCAAAAAATATCTGGCACAGTGGCCCATGCCTATAACCCCAGTACTTTGGGAGGCCAAGGCAGGAGGATTGCTGGAGGCCAGGAGTTCAAGACCAGCCTGGGCAACATGGAGAGACTCCGCCTCTACAAAAAAAAAAAAAACAAATTTAATTTAATTGGCCAGTTGTGGTGGCGTGGGCCTGTGGTCCCAGCTACTTGGGAAGCTAAGGCAGGAGGATTGCTGGAGGCCTGGAGGGCAAGGCTGCAGTGAGCCATGTTCACATCGCTGCACTCCAGCCTGGGTGACAGAGCAAGACCCTGTCTCCAAAAAAGCAAAAATAAATATCTAACAAAAAGGAACCTGTTTCCAAACCACAGTTTCTTAACTTTTTCATGATGGAATAGAAATTAAACTATAAGTATATACTGATAATAGCTGTGCAGGAAATTGGTTTTTATTTTACTTAAAAGTATTTTTTAGAAAAAATGTTATTCTGATTGCATAGATTAGCAAAATATTGCATCAATATAATGTTCCATTTTTATTAATTTTTGTTATATTCTAAATGACCGTTTTATAATTCTGTCTTGGACAACTGGGCCACAGTTAGAATCCACATAGACAGGGAGGTTCTTAGGTGTGCCATTTGTAGAATAAAGGGCAATCAAGTTAATATTCGGGGTAAATTTTCATTGCATTCTAACCTATGAAGTTTGATAAAGTATATTATTATTGAACAACTCTAACACTAAGATTTCCTAAAAGTAACTTACAACAAAAAATGAACTATGTGCTCAATATTCACATAAAGTCATGATTATTCTCTTCTTGCATTCATATAAAAGTTCCCAGGGGGAAGAAAATATATCTAAAAATTAGACTAGAAACTTGGCACTTTTTATGTATTGTAGATACACTTTCATATATTGTAAATACATCTGTTAAAGATAAAACTAAGTTTCTAACATAGCACTACAAGGAAACTTTGGATAAATATTTTTAAAAAGAAAATGTTAATAGGATAACTTAAGATTTTGTATATACTTATTGGAAGACAGGAAGAAACTAGGCAGTAAATATTCCTACCTGACGTGCAACCATTGTCAATCAGGTTTTGTTAAACTGTCAAATTTGATTTTGAAATTTTAGTTTGCCCAAATAATATCTTGAAAATGCTCTGAATTTTACTAGAACATATTCATAGAAAGTGTAATGTATCTACCAGGCTCTATGTTTGTGTTTGCCAACATTAGAAAAACAAAGTAAGTTGCGCTATAATGAGTGAAACTAAGGAAAATGAGATTTTTCTGACTCCCATTCCCTCTCTTAAAAAGTAAAATATTTAAGCTTTTTTTATTAAAGGAAAAATGGGTACAGAATACTCTATTGCCCTCCAAATGTCCAACATTTTTAAAGCCATGTTGTCCAACAATGTTTATACAGAAAATAGAATGCATAGGTTTAATATAGATAGCAATGTATATGTAGGCTCATTTGTGGGAGATTGCAAACTTTATGTGCCCCCAGTTCTCCTTGGTTTTGTAGGAAAGCTAAAAGAAAACCTTGTACTCTCACTAATAATGAAATTCATAGCCAATTTAGAAAGGGAAAATAACCTGAAAACCAAAATACCTCATTCATCTGAAGATGCCTGGAATAAAATATGGAATTCTTCTGTACCTACCTCCCCCTTACAGACTTTTCTCCTATTTTGAGAGAGAAATTCAAGAAGAAGAATACAGCTTGTTCTCTTTCCACAAATGATACTTTGTCTAAGGGAATAGGAGATACCAAGAAACAGTATCTTTAAAAAAGTAAGCTGCCCACAGGCCTTCTTGGAGAATGAAGAATATCAGCCCCATTCAGGGTTTACCAATGTCTCTCTGAGGTGACAATACATTCTGGTTTTCCAGGACAGTCCTGGCTTAGGTCTGCTGTCCTTCTATAAATATTAACAATGATCCCTCTTATTTCCAAACGTGTCCCAGTTTAGACAACAAATTATACAGTGTCTGCCCCCAACACACACACACACACCCCACCATCTTTATGGGTTGTTGTTGTTTTCTTGTTGTTTTTAATTTTGTAGAATTGGCTTTGTCTTCTCCAAAGCAGATAACAGCTTAAACTAAAGAGCCTAGCTACTTCTTTCTGACTGAGCAGGGTCATAGTAAACAGAGAAGAATGGATCACTTCCTCCTCTGAAATCTCCATCAATCCACTTTCTGTCCAACTATCTCTCTACCCAGCCTATTTTTGGTCCTAGTTTTCCTCTCATAACCCCTGGGCTGTGAGTCCTGAGTTCTGCCTTCATATGGCAGAGCAAGCTAGTCATTATTATGCCAGGTTAGGTGGTGGGGCAAGACAAAAGATAGCTCTTGGGGACACTTGCTTGGTCTGTAGAGATCCACAGGGCACTAGTAGGGTATTAGAGCATTTATTGGTTTCTTTCTTCCTTGAGTTGAGTTACTTCTATCCCAAAACAGACAGGTCTTACGTTAACCTTCACCTTAAAAAGGATATTGCCTTTTTTCCTTCTGCTTCACAAATTTGCTCCAACACTAATTCCCTTGCATTTGATTTCATCATTATGATTGTTCATCAACCATTCTTCACGAAAAATCCTCACATCACGTCATATAAAGGTTTTATTATTTTTAATGGAAAATAACATTGAGAGATTATTTTCCTTTTTCATAAAATTTCCCTTTTTCCCTCCCTCTATTCTCTTCACTAACATTGGAAATTAAACAAGTTTTACAGGCTCTATTGTTATTAACCCTCAAATCTATTCTTCAGAGAATATATGATCAGCCTGTGTTTACTATGCACCTACTCTTATACCAGAAACTGTGAATACAAATACATATATTTCCTACTTCTCTCTTTAATTGGGGCACACAGTCCCATGGTCCATTCTGCATTTTTCAAAATTGAATATAATTGCAACACCTGATAGGTTTTGCCACTTAGAATTCTGAAAATAAATCAACTCTGTTCTAAACCTTAAGTTTCCACTATTATTGCCAAACTCTGGACTGATACAATAAGCCTTTTAAAAGGTGAATTTAACACTTCACCTATTATGGTTATTTAAGTAAAATGAGTTTTCAAATATTTCCCCCAGGAGAAATATAAAGGACTATGCAAAAATAGAAGGAGAAAAAGGTTAGTTAGAGGTCCAGAAGGAGAATTAAAACATGGAATTGATAAATTCACCTACTGATTTATGATGTTAATGAGCAGGTACCTATACATTTTATTTACTTGAAAACATTTTGGCCATTAACTATTTCTGTTTTCTAAATACATTTGTGTTTATAAAATTTTAAAATCTATATCACAAGACTTAGACATGCCTTTCTTTGCAATAAAGTATATATACCTTTTTACAAATGTAAATTTTATTTTGAAACTTGGCATTTTCTTTATAATTCCTAAGATATCTTTGGGCACACAGACTACAGATAAATCTATTTAAATCAATTCATCATTAT
The DNA here is from genome assembly GCF_000001405.40 of Homo sapiens. Classification (NCBI taxonomy): domain Eukaryota; kingdom Metazoa; phylum Chordata; class Mammalia; order Primates; family Hominidae; genus Homo; species Homo sapiens. The sequence goes on along the minus strand of NC_000010.11, from coordinate 50,799,933 downwards.
CACTGGTTTAAATATTTAATGTAACCATTGGAATTTTTATTCTTATTCCTTCAGAGAATTCTCCTTTTCTTCTATGTTTCTGACTGCAATACAGCCCGATATTGTTATTCCCTATATCTTAATGAAAAGCAAGCTGTCAGCAAAATGCATTTATAGTTTCCAGATGTTTAACAATCTCTTTCTTCTTTTCTTTTTTGTTATTATTTTTATTTATGTGAAGTTAGTTAGCTGAGGTACCAAAAAAGAGACAAAGACAGTATTAAAAAGTGTGCATAAAGCACTTATTTTTGTACTTTAGTACAATGTTTTATAGAACTTTGTGATCTATCTAAATATATTAAGTAAAATTACACCATTCACTTGTTGGGAAAATAATCTTTGGTTTGGAAGATATTAACATAATGGGCATCTTAGAATCATAAATCACATGAAATGAGAGACAATGCAATATTGTATAATTCCTGGATGATGCAATTGTTTTAATTGAATTTTCAAGTGCCATTATAAAGTTTTAAAAATTATCAATATGAGTTGGTGCCTAATTTTTTCTTTCCTAAAAATAAAATTTTTTCTTTTTGTGAGTAAATACCTGAATATTAATAATCCATAATTGCAATGTGGTTTTGACAACTTCTTTACATGATTCACATCTTCTATATAAGTTCACTCTTCTGAGATTAAATGCAACTTTTAATAATTAAATGCATTATTTTTCAATCCATAAAAAGACAAGAGAAATACTTAGCAATTAAAATATTGAGAAAACATGACTCCAGAAAGGTAAGTGGGCCCTGAAATCAACATTTGCCTGGGGGCATCTGCTGATCCCTAAGAACTAGAGCAAACTATTCCTCCAGGACCAAATCCAGCTGCCTGATGTTTGTTGGCCCTTGAGTTAAAAATGACTGTTATGTTTTTAAAAGGTTGAGCTGAGAATGTTTTTCACATTTTTGAAAGGCTGGTTTAGAGAAAAAAAAAAGGAAGAACATGTAACTAAGACCACATATGGCCCACAGAGCCTAAAATATTTACTATCTGGTCCTTGACAGTGAAAGTTTGCTAAGCTTGCCCTAAGCTAATACCACATATTTTAGCTTCTGTTACCTGTAGCACCCCACTTCTTGATGCCGAATTCTGAATTAGCTAAGACTAGGTTTGGTTGGCAGTGACAGTATTCCCAAATAGCAATAGTTTAAATAAGATAGCAATTTATTGTCTCTTACCCAAAAGTCCCAAAGGGCAGTACAATGCTGGTACTGTGCTTCACAGTTTCATGAACATAGGCTTCCTTTTGTTGCTTTACTTGAATGGTCTCGATCTCATTGCCTAAGATTTACATCCAAGTAGAAAGATAGAGAAAGGACAAAGAAAGGGAAGGGCACCCACGAGCTGTCCCTTTAGGAGAGCTACTGGAAGCTGCCACAGGACACTGTAGTTTACATCACATTGGCCAAAATTTAAGCATGTGGCCACACCTAGCTGCAAGAGAAGATGGGAAATGTAGTCTTTATCTAGGCAGGAAAAAAATTCTTTTACTATGAAAGAACGGAAGAATGAATACCAAGAGAAAACTAGCAAAGTCTGCTACAAATTCCTACATCACAGGAAGGATGTGATGTTTAAATTAAGTAGGCATATGAAAACATCTGGCGCTGGCCTTTCATGATGGGTACTTATGAATCTTGGCTCTGTATCCAACCACCTGATGGGTTCTTCTTGCCCACTGCACAGACAAAACCAATTCACTGAGACCATGACATTGCAATAAAGAGTTTAATAGACATGAAGCCAGCCATACCATGTGGGAGACAGAGTTATTACTCATCTCAATCTCCCTGAAAATTCGGAGACTAGGGTCTTTCAAGGATAGTTTGGCTGGCTAGGGAGTTTGCTTCTGAGTGGGGTTATGGGACAAATCAGAGGGAGTCAGTGGGCTTAGGTGAAGCCATAAGTAGTCAGAAATGCAAAAACCTGAAAAGACACCTCAAAAGGCCAACTTAGGTTCTACTATAGTGATGTTATTTGCAAGAGTAATTGGGGGAGTTGCAAATTTTGTGACCTACAGAATAATGGCTGGTTATCCTTTAGTGGACACCTTAGAAGAATTCAGGCTCTACACCCTCCTAATCTGGTAGTCTTTCATGAGCTTTACAAAGGCAGTTAGTTTGAGGGAAGGACCATTATTTAAACTATAAACTAAATGTCTCTCAAAGTTAGCTTGGCCAAGCCCAGGAGTAATTAAGGGCAGCTTGGAGCTTAAAGGCAAGATGGGGTTTGGTTACAACAGATCGCTTTCACTGTCAAAATTTTCTCAATGTTGTAATTTTTGCAAAGGCAATTTCAGCACTTTTACCCTGCCTTTACCAACTAAAAGGAAACAGCCAATTTACCTTAGAGTTTCTCGAAGTATTGTCACCCATTGAAAGTGTAACTGTGTAGGGAGGATCCCATTGGCCCCACTTCCTGATATTCACACAATCGTATTATCTCCTTCCTTTGTGTGCATAGTGGACCTAGTAACTCCATTCTAATGAACAGAAGATGGCAAAAGTGATCAGATATCACTTCCAAGGTTATGTTATAAAAGATTATGATTTCCACCTTGCTGGTTGTTCTTGCCTGTTCACTGTGATGAAGCTGGCTGCCATATTGTAAGCTGGGCTGTGTAAAGAGTCACATGGCAAGGAACTGAAGGTAGCCTGCAGCCAACAGTCCGTGGGGAACTGAGTCCTGCTATCAACCACATGATTGCTCTTGGAAGTGGGTCACTCCTCAGCAGAGCTTTGAGAGGACTGCAGCCCTGGCTAATACATTGAGTGGACTTTATGATAAACTTCAAAGCAGATGACCAAGCCAGCTGCACCTGGCTCCTGCCCCACAGAAACAGTGATAATAAATGTTATTTTAATCTGTTAAGCTTCAGGATAATTTTTTGTGAAGGAACTAATAACCAATATAACAGTGAAAAGCTACAAACTTACAATGAATGTGAATGTGTTTATCACCTGAGAGTCACAGCAATCGATGACTAATATAACAGTGAGAAGTTATAAAGTTACAGGAAATTCATATGTGTTTATACCTGAGAGTCACTGAAGCTGTTGTGCAAAATCAGAGAAACCAACTCAGGTTTTGAGTTTATGGATAACTGTTGCTGATGTCAATATCCAGAAGCATATGCCCAATGTTGGAGAGGATAAGAAGTTAAAGAAATGCTATGTATCTGATACAAAGTAGGTGTTTAAAAATGCTGGTTGAGTGGGAAGAAAAAAGGGAGAAAGGAACAGATGAAAGAGAGTATGGGATAGAGTGGAGGAAAATGAGAGGAAGGAAGAAAGAGAGAAAGGGAGGAAATTGAAGCAAAAGAAAAATGGAGGGGAGAGGAGAAGAGAGAGGAGAATCTGGATTTCCGAGAACTAGGAATGATATTAAGTAACAGCAAGTGGGTGGTATCTTTGACTCCCATATTTCAAGCAATTCTGAGTAAAATTTCCTTTTGATGAGCAATGTCATGATATGAACAACTTTAGATCCAAAAAAGTTGCACTAAGAAAAAAAAAATCCTCTAAGTCTGAACATTCACAAGGACCCCTGATATAGTTTCCATGAAAAGAGTGAACTCTGAAGCAAGAGTCCAGAATTCTGGCCCCAGTTCTGCCACTGTTTTATAAATACCTGATTCAGACTCTCAGACTCTATAGCAGAGACTATCAATTGAAACATGTGACTAACAGTGGTGGGCAGACTGTATTCGTCTGTTTTCACACTGCTGATAAAGACATACCTGAGACTGGGAAGAAAAAGAAGTTTAATTGGACTTACAGTTCCACATGGCTGGGGAGGCTTTAGAATCACGGTGGGAGGTGAAAGGCACTTCTTACATGGCAGCGGCAAGAGAAAATGAGGAAGAAGCAAAAGCGGAAATCCCTGATAAACCCATCAGAGCTCATGAGACTTCTTAACTATCACAATAATAGCATGGAAAAGACCAGCCCCCATGATTCAATTACCTATCCCTGGGTCCCTCCCACAACATGTGGGAATTCTGGGAGATACAATTCAAGTTAAGATTTGGATGGGGACACAACCAAACCATATCATTCTGCCCCTGGCCCCTCCAAATCCCATGGCCTCACATTTCAAAACCAACCATGCCTTCCCAACAGTCCCCCAAAGTCTTAACTCATTTCAACTTAACCCAAAAGTCCACAGTCCAAAGTCTCATCTGAAACAAGGCAAGTCCCTTCCACCTATGAGCTTATAAAATCGAAAGCAAGCTAGTTACTTCCTAGATACAATGGGAGTACAGGTATTGGTTAAATACAGCTGTTCCAAATGGGAGAAATTGGCCAAAACAAAGGGGTTACAGGGCCCATGCAAGTCCAAAATCCAGTGGGGCAGTCAAATTTTAAAACTCCAAAATGATCTCCCTTGACTCTAGGTCTCACATCCAGGTCATGCTGATGCAAGAGGTCGGTTCCCATGGTCTTGAACAGCTCCACCCCTGTGTCTTTGCAGGGTACAGCCTCTCTCCCAGCTGCTTCCACAGGCTGGCCTTAAGTGTCTGTGGCTTTTTCAGGCACACGGTGCAAGCTGTCAGTGGATCTACCATTCTGGGATCTGGAGAACAGTGGCCCTCTTCTCACAGCTCCACTAGGCAGTGCCCCAGTAGGGACTCTGTGTGGGGACTCTGACCCCACATTTCCCTTTCACACTGCCCTAGCAGAGGTTCTCCCTGAGGGCCCCACCTCTGCATCAAACTTTTGCCTGAACATGCAGGCATTTCCACACATCTTCTGAAATCTAGGCAGAGGTTCCCAAACCTCAATTCTTGACTTCTGTGCATCTGCAGGCTCAACACCACGTGGAAGCTGCTACGGTTTGAGGCTTGCACCTTCTGAAGCCAGAGCCCGAGTTGTATGTTGGCCGCTCTCGGCCTTGGCTAGAGTGGCTGGGACACAAGGAATGAGAATAGCATGGGAAAGACCAGCTCCCATGATTCAATTACCTCCCCCTGGGTCCTTCCCACAACACATGGGAATTCTGGGAGATACAATTCAAGTTGAGATTTGGGCCAGGACACAGCCAAACCATATCACAGACCAATATTGTTTCAGTAGCACACAGTCAACATATTACTACCACAAGGCCTACTTCCTTGCCACTTGCCAAATTTTCTATCCCCTCTGTATGCTCCTAACAATAATAAAATATGATAAAACACCCCAGGGAAAGCAAATATCTGGCACATGGGCAGACAGTCTCCTCTCCCATACCCTTGGCAGACATTGAGGAATGACTCATTGATCTCCTATTGGTCTAAGTCACAGCCTCAGAATCCTTTTCAGCATAGGGCTCCAGGTAGTCATTACCAATCAATCAGCATACCAATGAATGATACCACTGTAAATTTCCACTTTCCTCATCATTACATATTCAAAAAACTGAAGGTATCATTAACAAAACCACTTAATAAACAGTTTATTTTAAAAAGTGAAACCTTTCCACAACCAATACTTGAAATGTTGATCTATGGAATTAACTACAGATTTCTTAGCTTACATGGCTATATAAATATTTTCTATAGTAACTTTCTTCTATTCTCACTGTATTCTTCCCCTTTCTTAGCAGGTACAACTGTCTATCATTGCTTCAGTAAAAGTGTCTGGCTAAACATCAAACAGAGATTTCCTGCAAGGTTTTCTAGCTGTGGTTTTTCAAAAGCTTTAGGGACTGGAAGAATTTGTAGGGTATTTGAAGAAACTGAAAGGGTGGCAGAAAGTGACAAAGGCAGAGACAAACTATCATAGAAAAGCAAAGGGAGAAATGCATATCCTCATCCACAAAATATCATGGGGATGGGAAGAGAGAGAAGGTAGAGACCTCAAGAACCAAGAACATAGGGAATTCAGTTCCAACTTCCAAGCAGCACCCTCCAGAAGTAACAAAATCTCAAAGAATGGCTGCAGAACAAGTTCAAGCAGCCTTGACTATATATCCATGCCTCAAACATGGCAAGGGCTTCTCTAAGGGAATGAAAGGCACTGTAGAGACAGAGACATTGGCCTTCTCATAAATCGTCTCTATGACCCAATGATGAAGACCAAACTCTCCCTTTCCGTGGCTATATTCTGGCACTATACAGGATACTAAGGATTGCGGCAGAGTCTCAGGAATGGGAAGATGAGTCTTAGCAAGTTTTTATTTTTACCTGTCCGATAAGATGGGAGCTCAGTGAAAAATCAAGTTGAGTTGCAGAAAAATAAAGCAATGTTTTCTTTATGTTGTGTTTATGGGCTGAGACTTGCTACTCTAACACTCAAGGTCCACCTCAACATGACTCCCATTGGGCTTTTTAATCCCATGCTACCTTGCAGAGCAGCATGAGCACTGGCTTGGGAGTACTCACTATTTGATCTTGGAAAATCACTTAAACTCCCTGATTTTGTTTCTTCATCAGTTAAAGAGAAATCATAATGTCTCCCTCACAGGGTTACTGTGAGGATTCATTGAAATTATGTACATTAAAATACCTATCACAGTGCCTGACATGGTAAGCATCATATAAATAACAGTCATCATTATCACAAAAATTTGCAAATGTAGCCTAGTAGGGTTTTCACAGAAATTTTCAGGTTCATTTCTCTATGGAACAAGTAAAAATTAAAATTTCAGACTGGAAAGAAAGAAGTAACACTGTCTTTATTTAAATACAACATAATAGTCCAAATAGAAAATTCAGTGGACTCTACAATAAAGCTACTTGTATCTTATTTCTTCTTTAAGAAATAAGAATAAATTTGCTCTTAAAGAAGAAACAAAATATAAGTAGCTTTATTGTCATATTATTTATTTGTCCTATTATTTATTATCATTTGTTTGTTTATTTGTCCTATTTTTTCTTAATAAAGAACCAATAAGTGAGTTTAGCAAGGTTTCAGGGTATAAGATTAATCTACAAAAATCAATTGTATTTCTATATACTAGCAACAAACTACCCAAAGTTGAAATTTAAAAAGCAATACAACTTGCAATACCATCAAAAAATATGAAATAGGGATAAATATTTTAAAAAGATATAAAAGACTTGTGCAATGAAAACTATAAATATTACTGAGAGTAATTAAAGAAAACCCAAATAAATGGAGAGATACACCATGTTCATGGGTCAGAAGACCCAATGTTGCCAAAATGTGAATTCTCCCCAATCATAGTTTCAGTGCAACCCCAGTCAAAATTCCAGCAGATTTATTTAGAAGTTGGCAAGATGATTGCAAAATTTATATGAAAATGCATATAGGACTTGCTAACACAACTTTGAAAAGAAGAACAAAGTTTGAAGTCTTGTACTACCTGACTTCCAGAATTATTTTATAGCTAAAGTAACTAAGACATTGCAATATTAGTGTCAGGATATTAAAGCAGATCCATGGAACAAAATAGAATCCAAAGATATATATATATATATATAAATGGCCAGCTGATTTTTGACAGATGTGTAAAGTTAATTCAGTGGAGAAAACATAGTTGTTTCAACAAAGGGTGATGAAAGCAATTGAATATCTATTGGTAAAACAAAGTTTGATTCATATCTCACACCATACAGCAAAACTAACTCAAAATGCATCCTAGAAAAACATTTAAAACTTAAAACAATAAAACATCTAGAAGAAAACATAGGAAAAATATTGTTACCCTAAGATACGCAAATATTTCTTAGATATAACACCAAAAGCATGATGTATAAAAAACCAAATTGATAACTTGAACTCTATCAAAATTTAAAACTTCTGGTCTTTAAAAGAGAATGAAACAAGCCACAGACTAGGAGAAAATCTTTGCAAAGAATATATCTTATAAAGGCTGTGTATCTAGGAGATATAGAGCTCTCAACATTCAACACTAAGAGCAAAAGCCTCATTTTTAAAAATGGACAGAGATTTGAATTGACATTTCACCAAAGAAGATATATGGAGGACAAAATTACCTAAAAAGATGTTCAACGTCATTAGTCATTAGAGAAATGCAAATTAAAATCACACTCACATATCCTTATACATGTATTGGACTAGCTAAAATTAAATAGACTTGCCATAAGAAATGTTGGCAAGGTTGTAGAAGAATTGGAAGTCTTATACACTGCTCTTGGGAATGTAAAATGATACAGTGAATTTTGAGACAATTTGGCAGTGCCTTAGAAAATTAAAGGTACACTCACTGTATGATCCAGCCATTCCACTCCTGTATATTTACCCAAGATAAATGAAAGCATATTTCCATATAAAAACTTATGTATGAATGTTCCTATCAGCTTTCTCTGTAATAACCAAAATCTATCCATACAATGGAACAGGACTCATCAAGAAAAAAGAAATAAACTATTGATATGCTACAACATGGGTGAAATGGAAAATAATTATATTGGGTGAAAGAACCCAAACATAAAATAGCACATATTGTATTAATTCATTTTAAACAATTCTGGAAAATGGAAACTACCCTATAGTGACAGAAAGCAAGTCTGAGTTTTCCTGAGTTTGGAGCTGAGAAAGGTGGGGAGATTACAAAGAAACACCAGGAAGCATCTGTGGGTGACTGATATGTTCACTATCTTGAATGTGTTGACATTTTCACAGGTGCATACGTATGTCAAAGTTTATCAAATTGTGTAATTTAAATGTATACTATGTATTATATATCAATTGCTCTTCAATAACACTGGTTTTTAAAAGAGTTTAACATATTCCTATCATATAATCCAGCCATTCCATTCCTAGGTATTGATCCAAGAGAAACAAAAGCATGTATTCATATAAAGACCTGTGCATGAATGTTCATAGTGGCATTATTTGTAACAGCCAATAACTGGAATAAAACCCAAACATTCACCAACGGATGAATGAAGGAATAAACAAATTGTGGCACATTCATTCAATGGAATGCTACTCAGCAACTAAAAAGTAAACATGCTGCAACATGGATGAATGTTAAAATAAGTATGTTGTATACAACAGAAGCCAAACAAAGGAGAGTAGATACTGCATGATTCCATTTATATTATATTCTAGAATATGCAAGTGAATGTAGAGTGAGACAACACAGGTTGTGGTTGTTTGGGGAGAGGGGCAAAGCAGCACTGGGAAACTTTCCAGGGTGATAGATTTGTTCATCATCTTGACTGTGATGATGGTTTTGTGAGAATAGACATGTCAAAACTTATCAAATGTTATAATTTAATTTCTGTAATTTATTTGTGCAATTTATTGCATGTCAATAATACCTCAATAGAAAAACAAAAAACAAAATGAGCATAAAGTAGCAAAAGCAGTAAATACTTTCTGGGTATAAGAAAGCACTGGCTCAGCTAAATTGCTGTCTACCCTTCAGCAAGTCCTCTATCACCTCCAGACCCCCACTTCTGATTCTGTCATGTGAAAATCAGCTTGATGCTCTTTCATACTTGTTCCACTTCTAATAGGCTATGCTACCATTTTTAATCATTGACATCAAGGTTCTTCAAAAGACTTTAAAGAGCTTGCCTGTGAGCTTCCTTAAGAACCTTCAAAATTCATTAACTGAAGAGACATGGCTCCCCGTCCACATCTCTGGGTCCCCAGGGAAGGAACCACATGCTTCCCAACTTGTGCAGGATCTCAGAACAAGTGCCCCAGGTAGCAAAGTGTTTTATAAGGAGACCTGACTCACTCTTTTCTTGGTAGCTCCTATAGGTCTGCAATTCTGCCACCAACATCCCACAAATAACCTACAATTTTAGTGAGAATACAACCAGGGAGAGTTTAATTTGAAAGACGATGATCCTTCCTGCCTTTCCAAAGGCAGTGGGTATAGTTGAAGGCAATATTAGCCTATATATTCCATCTAACTGTTATGAAAATTTAAACTTCTATGTTTAAGAGTGTGTACCCACTATGCATGTGTATGGTTACATTATAACTTATTAGTACTCAGAGTGAGCTCTCTTTGCTTGCTTTTTCTAACAAGAGCTGGGATAAATCATAACCCTTGACTTGTTTTACTGATTTCCTGTTAGAGGCTGTGGACTTTATTGTTAGCCTAATGTTTCTCTGCTAAGTGCCTTGGGACTCATAATCCAACCACAGTCCCATCCCTGAATCAAAATCATGAGATAAAATATTCATGAGATAAAACACCCAATCAAATGTCAGTGTGAAGGCCAGAATATTTTATGGCTTGTCACTAGACAGAGCTTAGGAGAGAGGCAGAACCAGATAATGATTCATACCATCTGCTTCTGCATAGTAGAAATTTCCTAAAGGTACATAATTTTGATGTGGCTCTAAAGTGCCTGGCTCAATGCCAAGGACCAACTGGGGAGTTCAGTGACCTGAGTTCTAGGTCCAGATTTACAACCAATTTAACCTGTGTTTTGGTCAAACCATGTAAGCTGCCTGGGTGGTCAGGCTCCTCCTTTGTAAAAGGACATAAAGGACTCCTACACTCCCTTCCCTTAAGGAACTAGTTGGGTGACCCAAATGAGTGAAGCACACCTGTAAGACTCCAGGGAGTAGGACACAGTTGTCTCAACTCTGATCATTCTGAAGAGTGCACCCTTTGCCTTGATGCATCCAAGTACAATGAATACTGAGAAAAATAAAATGTGTGCAAAATAAAACTTGCCTATAACCACAGTTTTTAAACTCTGGCCTCGAAGATTGCCAAAGTCTATTCTATTCCTAAAAACCTAAGACTGTCCAAGCCAAAGTGCACTGGATAGTATGTGTACAGTAGCTTAGATCAAGTATGACATCCAGTGGCCTATTTGGCTAATGACACCTAGAGACTTTGAAGGAATCTGGGGAATTCTGATCTCTTTGGCATTTAATCTTGCAGAAAAAATTTCAATTGAAGAAAGGGAACTGGAACTAACCAGTACTCTCCCCTGGGTTGCAGGAACTGTAAGAGGAATTTTTGCCATTTATTCTACCCACACCTCACAGTAACTATGCAACCAATATTATTAACTATCAAAATGGACAAGAAAACAGAAAGAGACATAGAGATGAACTAACTTGCTTAACTATCTTACCAACCTTGCAAATAAGAATTTCTGAATACCATCTGACTCCTGAAAACATGCTGCACCCATCATTCCAAGACTTCAGAGAACATGTTTCCAAGTTTCTATTTTACAAATGTGGAAATTAACCTGAGGAAGGATAAGTGATACCCAAAACATAGCTACTTAAGGACACAGATGAGGCTGGAACCCAAGGCTTGCAGAAGATCTACCAATTAATTATGAGATCCAATATATCACAGAAAAGTCTTTACCTCCAAACAAGGCCCATAAAACACAGACTATGCGGAGGAGGAGCCAAGATGGCCAAATAGGAACAGCTCCAGTCTACAGCTCCCAGAGTAAGCGACGCAGAAGATGGGTGATTTCTGCATTTCCAACTGAGGTACCGGGTTCATCTCACTGGGGAATGTCGGAAAGTGGTTGCAGGATAGTGGGTGCAGCGCACCAAGCGTGAGCCAAAGCAGGGCGAGGCATCACCTCACCTGGGAAGCGCAAGGGGTCAGGGAATTCCCTATCCTAGTCAAAGAAAGGGGTGACAGACAGCACCTGGAAAATCGTATCACTCCCACCCTAATACCGTGCTTTTCCAACAGTCTTAGCAAACAGCACACCAGGAGATAATATCCCGTGCCTGGCTCAGAGGGTCCTACACCCATGGAGCCTCACTTACTGCTAGTACAGCAGTCTGAGATCAAACTGCAAGGCAGCAGTGAGGCTGGGGGAGGGGCGCCCGCCACTGCCCAGGCTTGAGTAGGTAAACAAAGCTGCCAGGAAGCTTGAACAGGGTGGAGCCCACCACAGCTCAAGGAGGCCTACCTGCCTCTGTAGACTCCACCTTTGGGGGCAGGGCATGGCCAAACAAAAGGCAGCAGAAACCTCTGCAGACTTAAATGTCCCTGTCTGACAGCTTTGAAGGGAGCAGCAGTTCTCCCAGTATGCAGCTGGAGATCTGAGAACGGACAGGCTGCCTCCTCAAGCGGGTCCCTGACCCCTGAGTAGCCTAACTGGGAGGCACCCCTCAGTAGGGGCAGAATGACACCTCACACGGCCGGGTACTCCTCTGGGACAAAACATCCACAGGAATGATCAGGCAGCAACATTTGCTGTTCAACAATATCCGCTGTTCGGCAGCCTCTGCTGCTGACACCCAGGCAAACACGGTCTGGAGTGGACCTCTAGCAAACTCCAACAGACCTGCAGCTGAGGGTCCTGTTAGAAGGAAAACTAACAAACAGAAAGGACATCCACACCAAAACCCCATCTGTATGTCACCATCATCAAAGACCAAAGATAGACAAAACCACAAAGATGGGGAAAAAACAGAGCAGAAAAACTGGAAACTCTAAAAATCAGAGCACCTCTGATTTTTAAAAGGAACACAGCTCCTCACCAGCAACGGAACAAAGCAGGACGGAGAATGACTTCGACGAGTTGAGAGAAGAAAGCTTCAGACAATCAAGCTACTCCGAGCTAAAGGAGGAAGTTTGAACCCATGGCAAAGAAGTTAAAAACCTTGAAAAAAAATTAGACAAATGGCTAACTAGAATAACCAATGCAGAGAAGTCCTTAAAGGACCCGATGGAGCTGAAAACCACGGCACGAGAACGATGTGATGAATGCACAAGCCTCAGTAGCTGATTCGATCAACTGGAAGAATGGGTATCAGCGATGGAAGATCAAATGAATGAAATGAAGTGAGAAGAGAAGTTTAGAGAAAAATGAATAAAAAGAAATGAATAAAGTCTCCAAGAAATATGGGACTATGTGAAAAGACCAAATCTATGTCTGATTGGTGTACCTGAAAGTGACGGGGAGAATGGAACCAAGTTGGAAAACACTCTGCAGGATATTATCCAGGAGAACTTCCCCAATCTAGCAAGGCAGGCCAACATTCAAATTCAGGAAATACAGAGAACGCCACAGAGATACTCCTCGAGAAGAGGAACTCCAAGACACGTAATTGTCAGATTCACCAAAGTTGAAATGAAGGAAAAAATGTTAATGGCAGCCAGAGAGAAAGGTCCAGTTACGCACAAAGGGAAGCCCATCAGACCAACAGCAGATCTCTCGGCAGAAACTCTACAAGCCAGAAGAGAGTGGGGGCCAATATTCAACATTCTTAAAGAATTTTCAACCCAGAATTTCATATCCAGCCAAACTAACCTTCATAAGTGAAGGAGAAATAAAATACTTTACAGACAAGCAAATGCTGAGAGATTTTGTCACCACCAGGCCTGCACTAAAAGAGCTCCTGAAGGAAGCACTAAACATGGAAAGGAACAACCAGTACCAGCCACTGCAAAAACATGCCAAATTGTAAAGACCATCCAGGCTAGGAAGAAACTGCATCAACTAATGAGCAAAATAACCAGCTAACATCATAATGACAGGATCAAATTCACACATAACAATATTAACCTTAAACGTAAATGGGATAAATGCTCCAATTAAAGGATACAGACTGGCAAATTGGATAAAGAGTCAAGACCCATCAGTGTGCTGTATTCAGGAAACCCATCTCACATGCAGAGACACACATAGGCTCAAAATAAAGGGATGGAGGAAGATCTACCAAGCAAATGGAAAACAAAAAAAGGCAGGGGTTGCAATCCTAGTCTCTGATAAAACAGACTTTGAACCAACAAAGATCGAAAGAGACAAAGAAGGCCATTACATAATGGTAAAGGGATCAATTCAACAAGACGAGCTAACTACCCTAAATATATATGCACCCAATACAGGAGCATCCAGATTCATAAAGCAAGTCCTTAGAGACCTACAAAGAGACTTTGACTCCCACACAATAATAACGGGAGACATTAACACCCCACTGTCAACATTAGACAGATCAACGAGACAGAAAGTTAACAAGGATATCCAGGAATTGAACTCAGCTCTGCACCAAGTGGACCTAACAGACATCTACAGAACTCTCCACCCCAAAGCAACAGAATATACATTCTTTTCAGCACCACACCACACCTATTCCAAAATTGACCACATAGTTGGAAGTAAAGCACTCCTCAGCAAATGTGAAAGAACAGAAATTATAACAAACTGTCTCTCAGACCACAGTGCAATCAAACTAGAACTCAGGATTAAGAAACTCACTCAAAACTGCTCAACTACATGGAAACTGAACAACCTGCTCCTGAATGACTACTGGGTACATAACGAAATGAAGGCAGAAATAAAGATGTTCTTTGAAACCAACAAGAACAAAAACAACATACCAGAATCTCTGGGACACATTCAAAGCAGTGTGTAGAGGGAAATTTATAGCACTAAATGCCCACAAGAGAAAGCAGGAAAGATCTAAAATTGACACCCTAACATCACAATTAAAAGAACTAGAGAAGCAAGAGCAAACACATTCAAAAGCTAGCAGAAGGCAAGAAATAATTAAGATCAGAGCAGAACTGAAGGAAATAGAGACACAAAAAACCCTTCAAAAGAATCAGTGAATCCAGGAGCTGGTTTTTTGAAAAGATCAACAAAATTGATAGACCACTAGCAGGACTAATAAAGAAGAAAAGAGAGAAGAATCAAATAGAAACAATGAAAAATGATAAAGAGGATATCACCACCGATCCCACAGAAATACTACCATCAGAGAATACTATAAACAACTCTATGCAAATAAACTAGAAAATCTAGAAGAAATGGATAAATTCCTCGACACATACACCCTCCCAGGACTAAACCAGGAAGAACTTGAATCTCTGAATAGACCAATAACAGGCTCTGAAATTGAGGTAAAAATTAATAGCTAACCAACCAAAAAAAGTCCAGGACCAGATGGATTCACAGCGGAATTCTATCAGAGGTAGAAGGAGGAGCTGGTACCATTCCTTCTGAAACTACTCCAATCAATAGAAAAAGAGGGAATCCTCCCTAATTCATTTTATGAGGCCAGCATCATCCTGATACCAAAGCCTGGCAGAGACACAACAAAAAAAGACAATTTCAGACCAATATCCCTGATGAACATCGATGCAAAAATCCTCAATAAAATACTAGCAAACCAAATCCAGCAGCACATCAAAAAGCTTATCCACCATGGTCAAGTGGGCTTCATCCCTAGGATGCAAGGCTGGTTCAACATATACAAATCAATAAACGTAATCCAGCATATAAACAGAACCAAAGACAAAAACCACATGATTATCTCAATAGATGCAGAAAAGGCCTTTGACAAAATTCAACAACGCTTCATGCTAAAAACTCTCAATAAATTATGTATTGATGGGATGTATCTCAAAATAGTAAGAGCTATCTATGACAAACCCACAGCCAATATCATGATGAATGGGCAAAAACTGGAAGAATTCCCTTTGAAAACTGGCAGAAGAAAGGGATGCCCTCTCTCACCACTCCTATTCAACATAGTGTTGGAAGTTCTGGCCAGGGCAATCAGGCAGGAGAAGGAAATAAAGGGTATTCAATTAGGAAAAGAGGAAGTCAAATTGTCCCTGTTTGCAGATGACATGATTGTATATCCAGAAAACCCCATCATCTCAGCTCAAAATCTCCTTAAGCTGATAGGCAACTTCAGCAAAGTCTCAGGATACAAAATCAATGTGCAAAAATCACAAGCACTCTTATACGCCAATAACAGACAGAGAGCCAAATCAGGAGTGAACTCCCATTCACAATTACTTCAAAGAGAATAAAATACCTAGGAATCCAACTGGCAAGGGACATGAAGGACCTTTTCAAGGAGAACTACAAACCACTGCTCAATGAAATAAAAGGGGATACAAACAAATAGAAGAACATTCCATGCTCATGGGTAGGAAGAATCAATATTGTGAAAACGGCCATACTGCCCAAGGTAATTTATAGATTCAATGTCATCCCCATCAAGCTACCAATGACTTTCTTCACAGAATTGGAAAAAACTACTTTAAAGTTCATATGGTACCAAAAAGAGCCTGCATTGCCAAGTCAATCCTAAGCCAAAAGAACAAAGCTGGAGGCATCACACTATCTGACTTCAAACTATACTACAAGGCTACAGTAACCAAAACAGCATGGTACTGGTACCAAAACAGAGATATAGACCAATGGAACAGAACAGAGCCCTCAGAAATAATGCCACTTGTTTACAACTATCTGATCTTTGACAAACCTGACAAAAACAAGAAATGGGGAAAGGATTCCCTATTTAATAAATGGTGCTGGGAAAACTGGCTAGCCATATGGAGAAAGCTGAAACTGGATCCCTTCCTTACACCTTATACAAAAATTAATTCAAGATGGATTAAAGACTTAAATATTAGACCTAAAACCATAAAAACCCTAGAAGAAAACCTAGGCAACACCATTCAGGACATAGGCATGGGCAAGGACTTCATGTCTGAAACACCAAAATCAATGGCAACAAAAGCCAAAATTGATAAATGGGATCTAATTAAACTAAAGAGCTTCTGCACAGCAAAAGAAACTACCATCAGAGTGAACAGGCAACCTACAGAATGGAAGAAAATTTTTGCAGTCTACTCATCTGACAAAGGGCTATTATCTAGAATCTACAATGAACTCAAACAAATTTACAAGAAAAAAAAAACAACCCCATCAAAAGTGGGTGAAGGATATGAACAGACACTTCTCAAAAGAAGACATTTATGCGGCCAAAAGACACATGAAAAAATGCTCATCATCACTGGCCATCAGAGAAACGCAAATCAAAACCACAATGAGATACTATCTCACACCAGTTAAAATGGTGATCATTAAAAAGTCAGGAAACAACAGGTGCTGGAGAGGATGTGGAGAAATAGGAACAGTTTTACACTGTTGGTGGGACTGTAAACTAGTTCAACCATTGTGGAAGTCAGTGTGGCGATTCTTCAGGGATCTAGAACTAGAAATACCATTTGACCCAGCCATCCCATTACTGGGTATATACCCAAAGGATTATAAATCATGCTGCTATAAAGACACATGCACACATATGTTTATTGCAGCACTATTCACAATAGCAAAGACTTGGAACCAACCCAAATGTCCAACAGTGATAGACTGGATTAAGAAAATGTGGCACATATACACCATGGAATACTATGCAGCCATAAAAATTATGAGTTCACATCCTTTGTAGGGACATGGATGAAACTGGAAACCATCATTCTCAGCAAACTATCGCAAGGACAAAAAAACAAACACCGCATGTTCTCACTCATAGGTGGTAATTGAACAATGAGAACACATGGACACAGGAAGGGGAACATCACACATCGGGTCTGTTTTGGGGTGGGGGATGGGGGAGGGATAGCATTAGGAGATATACCTAACGTAAATGACAAGTTAATGGGTGCAGCACACCAACATGGCACATGTATACATATGTAACAAACCTGCACGTTGTGCACATGTACCCTAAAACTCGAAGTATTAAACACACACACACACACACACAAAGACTATGCTCACAAAGACCCTTTGCCTTACTTCAGAAAAAGAGGTAGAGCTACTATTAAGCCCCTACCCTGACAATTGGGAAACTAGAAATGAGCCTATTATAAAGAATTGGCAGCAGAAAAGGGACTAAAGAAGAATTAATAATTTTAAAAAAATCTCTTGAATGTGTGTAGTGCTATTAGCACTGGGGCAAAAAGCCTGATGCACTTTAAGTTCCAAAGTCTTTGCCCTGTACAACCTTGCATAATAACTAATGTCCACAATGATGACACTGGGCCATTAAGGGAGACTGAATTATTCTTACAGTTCTATATTTAATCAAGTAAGGAAATATGTAATCTAATTTGGAAATCTTTAAGATTCAAAATAATGAGAGTTAACATTTTGTGTGCAGCTAAATATCTTATCTTGAAGACAGACTTTCATTTGCCACATTCTTAAACCCTTGAGTGTGGTCTATAGAAGTAGTCAGAAGTCATCTCCCATCTGGCCCAAAATTCTTCTCCCATTATTCTTTGGTTTATGCCACAAATATAAGTGCACTATTCCCAGATAAGGACTATATTCAATATCCACAGCCAGCCTGTTTTGCCATGACAAAACCTGGTCCCTTTCAGTTCAGTCTCAGAACAGAGTCACGTTCAAGAAGCAGTTTATAAGGAATTCAAATTTTTACTTACATTTCCCAAATGACTGAAAGGAATTCAAATATAAAGTCCGGAGTAACCTTGGTAAAGGTGTCATCTCGCCTTTGTCCACTTCCCTCACGTACTGCATCTTCTCTGGGATTTTCAGTAAATGTTTTTTCTGCTCCCCTACCAATAAGGCTTTTCTTCCACCTGAAATTTCTCCCCAATATCCACCTCCTTTTTTTGTCTCCTTTATCTTCTTAGCCATTCCCATTTGTCAAAAGTTAACTCCTACTTTAGAGTTTAATTCAAATACAATAAAATCTCCTTTTAAAGGAATTCTTCAATCCTATCACTGAAACTGAATTCCTTCTCCTACTACATTACAATGACTTCTTTAGTTCACATCCAAGAGTAACAGGTAGACTTAAAGAAAAGATAAGAACAGGCTCTAGAGCCATCAATCCTATTTTATTTGTTTAGTTACCATTTATTATGCCCCTTCTGTATGCCACACATGTTGCATGCATTTTGCATGTGTTAACTCTTTAAGTCTCACTGCTTGCCTATGACATAATTACCATAAACCTCATGCTTTAAGATATGATAACTATAGTTTAAAGAAATTAAGTACCTTGCCAATAATCACATAGCCAATGAGTGGCATAACCAAGTTTCAAATCCAGAAATGCTGACTCCAGAGCTGAGGTTATTAACCAGTGGGGTGGCCATGGAGGAGTGCCACTCAGACTTCCTTTAAGAGAACCTGCCACAGTGAGCATAGTTGGATCTGCCACATTGTTCATACTGTTACAGTAGGTAACTAGTCAGACATGAGCAGGGCAGGAGAAAGCTCCCACTACTCCCACACACACCAAAAATGTTACACCACTATCACGTGATGATCAGGAAGTTGTTAGCTGTCTCTCTAAAATAATAATTGATCACAGCTGGTGCCAGGGAAAGGCAGACTCCCAATAGATAGAAACACTGAATCTGGTGATCAGCAGCTTCCCAACAAGATCTCAGGAGTTGGGTGAGTGGGCTGAAGCATGTGCATTAAGAGGCAAATGGTAGAGTTTAACTGGTATATGACTTTCTAGGATCCTTCTATCGGAAAGAGAAGAACACCTTAAGTGAGCATGCATCCAACTCCAATAAACACACTGCACATGCTCATTTCCCAAGTGCTAGCAGGTCACTGCACATGTGGACAGCCCAACCCAAGAGAAGAATCAGTGGAGAAGGGACACAAGACCCCAGAAGAATGCCAACGTACAAAACTCCAAGTCAAAAGGTCAAACCACACACCTGATCTCCGAAGTTGCCCAGTTGGCCTGCTTCTTACTTCCTTTCATTCCTGCTTTAAAACTTGCCTCGGTCTCTCCTTCTGCCTTATGCCCCTCAGTCAAATTCTTTCTTCTGAGGAGGTGAAAATTGAGGCTGCTGCTGGCCCATATGGATTTGCCAGTAACAATAACAAGATCATACTTTCCCTGGGTTACCCCCCAAAAATGACTAAGCACAGCACAAGGACAAGAGCTGAGCCATTATTGCCCAACACAAGATCCCTTTAACAAGCATTCTTTGCTGAGGAACTACTCGCCAGCCTGACTAATGCTTTCTCAAGACTGCAGTGTAGTGTGAGGATCTTCCTCTTCAATCATGCCTTCCTCCATCTCTCCTTTCACAAATACCATATCTGCACTGCAGTCTGAAGGTTCACCAAACTGTTTCTGCTCCTTTCCCCTTTACCCTAAGTAGGTGTTTTTCCATTAAATCTCTAGCACGCCTGAGCCCATCTCAGCTTCTGCTCCTTGAAAGACACAGGTGGTACCATAAGTGGTCCAGGAAAACAGGTAATATAATGGGGTTACAGGACTGGCTCACTCACCACCCATTTGGCAAGAAGGACTGCATCCCAAATAGAATATCAAGTACAGATAGTCCCTGGCACAGGTGACAGGCCAACTGCTGAAGTTTTCATTGATGTTGACCTGGGAAGATGCCCTAGTCACAGTTCAATGATTCAGTGGGAACAGCTCAATGATTTGGGCATTTGAAAGATATCTGGGACCTACACATGCAAAGACAGCAGAGCTGGTAAATAGTTATCAAGTTATTATAATGCTTCACAGGGATATCATGTGAAAGTGAGGATGACTGGCAACCAGCTACAAGCTAAGTGAGGAAACCATGGAGCCTCTTTGTTAATTTATCTCTTACAATAAAAAAGAAGACATGGCCAAGGAGCAGATTCAGAACTTAATAGTTAGAAATGCAGAACTCCAGAGACATTTAAATACACAGCCAAAGTAGGTCAGTTATACTAAGGCCAGGACTCTGGTTAGGAAAAGATGGAACCCTAGAATATGGGATGGGGATATCTGAGTGGATGGCCACAAGGATTTTGGCTCTGGAGACTATCCAGACCTTGCAGAGGTGGCCCACTGCACCACAGTAAGAACCAGCACTTCACTTATGTGGAAGACACTGCAGAAGCTTTAACTCCACAAGGCAACAGGTAACTTCCAAAAGACATGCTCCCATCTCCTCTTCTTACTCCCACACCACCCCAGTGGGTACGATTATATCCAACATAACCCAGCTCAGGACACACTGGGCTTCATAAGAGGGAAAGGATTATATATACTTCAAAGGAATGGCAAGAATTACCTAATAGGTACACACAGGAGCTGGGATTGGATTGGATTGGGCTTTGGCTTGATCAAGAGGCCAAAGCATAAGATTGGAAAAAGAAGGATTCATGGACTTGAAGGCACTTTCTTGAGATGTAGGATTTAATGCTCTGGGAAGGGTCCCTGGGCAAGGGGCAAACTTACTACTGAGTGGGATACTAGTTTCCCATTGTTGATGTAACACATTACCACAACCTTAATAGCTTAATACAACACAAATTATGTAACTTACAGTTGCGGAGATCAGAAGATTGAAATAGGTCTTACTGGGCTGAAATGAAGGTGTTGGCAAGCTGCATACCTTCTGGAGACTCTAAGGGAGAACCTGTTTCTTCATCTTCTTTGGTGTCTAGAGCCTGCTTATTATGTTCTTTGGTTCATGGCCCCTTCATCCATCTTCAAAATCAAGTGTAGCATCTTCAAATTTCTCTTCCTCTCTAACCATCCTACTTCTGTTTTTCACTTACAGGGACCCTTGTTGTTATAATGGGATACTGGGATACACCTGAATAATACAGGATAATCTCCCTATCCCAAGATCCTTGATTTATCCCTACCTGCAAAGTTCATTTTGCCATGTAAAATAATATGTTCACAAGTTCTGGGGATTAGGATATAGACACCTTTAGGGGGAGGGGGCATTATTCTGCCTACCTCAGGTAACTTTTTGGAACCGTAAAAAGCAAAAGCCCACACTGATTGAAGCAGAAATACTTAGATTTTCCTGGAATATGGAAAATACCTGGAGACTTTGGAGATTATTGGATATATGATTTGAGTTGATATTAACTCCTGGAAATATCATCAAAGCATCATCATTATCACCTGTTAAAGTGGAGCTTATCGTGTATCAAGTAATAAATGGGAACTGGCTAAAGTCTGGCTTACTGGGGCCCCACCAGGTCCACAAACCCGCCTAATGCTCACTGCTATTCACCTGAGCCAGTGTTGTTGAACAACAGTCTCCCCAAAGAAATAAAATAAAAGCCCAATGCCTGGTGGTCCTCTTTGTTTCTAGAGAGAGAATATTCCACTCCTACTGGCCACTGCTCTGGCCAGTCTACAGGATGCGATACAAGCCGGCCTGCCACTGGGGCCATATGAGCCTGCAGAACCCCGTGGTGTGGGAGGGATCGGGGATAGGATGAGATGCATTGCGGAGTGTATGGCAAACCCTAAGGGGACATTTACACCACAGGCCTGTGGGTATCTAGCCAAGCCATATCATCCACAGTGAAGAAACAGCTCCCAGCTCATTACGGGGCCCTGCTATTGATGAAATGCCTGACACCTGCTTCTCAAATTGTCTGAACCCACAGCCCCTCTGTTAAACTGAATCACTTGTTCCAGCCTCCCTCCTCCTGGAGCTGAGAGATAGTCCAGGGGAGGCCAGGCTAGAAGCCTAGCTCAGGACCACCACACACTAACACACGCAGCAGCCCCTCCACACCAACAGTGTACCTCACCTCAACCCTCTACCAGAGTGAGCTCCTTCCCCATCGAGTACAGGGTGTGGTGTTTAAATGATTTCCTCCAAAACCGAGAGGGGTTTTCTGGAGGAGCTTCACTCTAGGAGTATATTTTTCCTTCTACCACGCTCCTCAACTCCTAAAGCAAGTAGATCTATGGCCCATTTGCCCTGGAATCTCAAGAGCTTTGCCCCTTGCTCTCAGGTCCCTGGCGCAGTTGTTCACTATTCTCCCATTCTATGCCATTTTACGAAAATCCTTCCTCCAAGTTCACCACCCTCTCAAGGCCACAGCAGCTTACAGGCAGATTCTGAACATGGAGGATTGCACAATCATCTTGAAAGTGAACATCATCCACAGCTCACTTCTAGCCACAGAGTTCTATAGCTTCCCCTGGAAAGAGAAGAAGAATAAGGAAAGATCTTCTAACTTGGGAACCCTAAAGGGAAGAGAGGGGCCAAAAAGCCTACACTAGCACCTAAATTCAAACCAAACATACAATTGGGATGAAAAGATACAATTATTTTCATAATGTTCCATAATAAGATTTCTAATCCAAAGTCTAAGCTTTCTTCCTATCTCCTCAAACTTTTTCATCCCCCTTTTGTAAGTCCACAATTTGAAGAATTGAAGCCAGGGAGCAGGACAAATGAATTCTACAACATGAGGCAGACACTCAAGTTTCCTCTACATACTTCATAAATCTTGTCATCTGCTTTCCTAGCTCTGCTTCATAGTTGTCTTTGTGGGGTTTTATAGACCCATAATACTTTGGAATAAGAGAATGAAATATCCAGGATCTCATCTGGTACTCAGTTCAGCCCAAAGACATAAGATACACTATTTCCTGTTGATATGTGGAGAAACTGAGCCACCGAGGCACAGAGAGTGAGGGACACAGCCAGGATTCAAAGAGCCCACCTTGTCCTGTCCCCTATCCTGAAGGGAAGCTCTCAACCAACTTTCAGATACAAAGAACCCAAACAGTCATCTTAAAAAATTAGCTCTGGGCAAGTGACCTTCTAGAGTTGCCCGTTCTTTAATATTTGTTTCTTATTGGTAAGGTACAAAATCTGTGATCTCTTCAAGAGAGAGGCTTTGGAAGTTGAATCCCAGATAACTGAGTCATAAATTCTGCTTTCATGGCTAAGAAACCCAAAGCTTAGGAGAGACCTAGAGGTGACATATCTTATCCAAATTAAGAATTCCTTGCAGACATTCTTTCTCTCCAAGTATCCCTCAAAACAGGGCCAACTTTAGGAGTAGTAAATGGCTGTGTTTTTGAGGAGTGACACACAAAGACCACTCATCACAAACAGGATACAATTTCCAACATTCAAAGGAACAAATCACTTGCTTCTCCAAGAACCTTTAAAATGTCTCTATCCGAGGGAAATGTCAACTGAAAAGGGGGGCTCTTGTGACTCTCCTTGTCAAGCAGATGATCTTGACCTCAACCACGTGAAAACCAAAATGACCTATTGAGAGGCCACATAATTCAGTGGGAATAGCATGAGCTTAGAAGTCAGGCAGGCCTGGGTTTTAATTCTAGCACTGCCGTTTTCTAACTATATGCTTTGTACAGGTTGCTTCAACTGTCTCAACTCCTACGACCTCCTTTGTAAAACAGGAATAACATCACAAGGCTGTAAGGAGGTGTAGTCAGTTAACATGGCTGAAGCCCCTAGCACAGTATCTGGCACCTGAGAGACCAGTATTAGGAACACATTAAAATAAACAGGCCATGTTCAACAAAATGTAAGAAACACTGAATTAGACAAACTTAAACAGGTTTCTTGCCTTCAGAGCTCCTGGAAACCTGTGTTGTCCTAATGTGCATGGTAAATCTTCAAGAGAGGGACTATTATAGCAATTCCCAAACATATTGGATCATAGATCTTTTTTCATGGCACTAACATAAACACTGCTGAAAAAACCAATTTGGAGCAAAACCTAATAGACCCTTAATGGACATTAATTTCCTCCTTTCTTCTCTCACCCAGACTTCTTTACCTCCTAAAACTAACATACAAATAAGACACGTTGGTCTTTGTGACTTCAGCGACATCAGAAGTGTACGTTTGGGTTTTGATATTTTAACCTTAAACTCTATCATTTAAAATAGTAGTTTTATGAAAGGAAACAGCCAGGCACTGTGGCTTAAGCCTGTCATCCCAGCTACTTCGGAGGCTGAGGCAGGAGAATGACTTGAGCCCAGGAATTTGAGGCTACAGTGAGCTATGATGACACCACCGCACTCCAATCTGGGCGACAGAATAAGACTGCGAGACCTATTTCTAAAAAACAAACACCCCCAACCCCCAAAAAAGGAAAACAAATGATTTAACGTGTATTGACAAGATACTTATGAATGACTGTTATTTATACTGAATTTTTAAAGATGGCTTTGAGAACCTCTCCAAAGAGCTCAATCAAAGCACTATAATTAAGTTCAGGCAAATTATGAGATTAAAATATATGGCCTTAAATAACAAGCAAAACATTTTCCTTCATTGTCATCTGGCCTACCTTTACAGTCTTTGCATTATTTCCTGTCCGATTCAGTAGATGGCACTGCAGATTGAACATAGAGAAAATCCCATAGAGTTGCTGTGCATTCATCCTTGGGTGAATACTGATTTGTTTTGTTTTGCTAACCCTCTCTAGTTTCGATGTTGTTGATCTGCCAAGAGGGGAACTTGTGTATTTTGTGGGAGTGGGATGGGGTAAAGTAGTGTAAGTAATGATTTTCTGCCCCTACTGGAAACTCTCCCTGTGCCTCCTAACCCCTTGAAAATTGGCATTTATAGAATTCCCTAGCTCAAGAAGGCCAAACACAGGACTATCATTTGACCACCGATGCAGACCCGGCCCATATCAGACAGTGCTAATCACCACCCCAGGCCCGTGACCAGACAGTGCTGATCAATCATAGCCACTTTTCCACTGGAGCCAAACAACATTTCTCAATTATTTTCAATACACTTTTCCAAGCAACTACTATAAATCCCACAACAAAGGCACAACGATGCAATCTATTTCTAATACCTGCCGGAGAGTTCAGAGTTTTTTCAAGAGCAAATCCTTGATAATACTCAAAGTTGTTAAGAAATGTATCCAAGCTTATCAGATGATTTTTGACAGAACCAGGACAAGAATTCAGGACTCTTGACTCTCGCAGAAGAGTTTATATTCCACCCTGACTTAATGCCCTACTGCTAAGAGTCAGACTGCTGAAGTACAGCCCCTGAGGACCAAGTTCAGATAGCCGAGTACAAAAGGTTTGTCTGGACTCTGGTGGCCCCACTCATCATTGGAGATGGGGAGGGGAAGAACAGGCAGAAATTAAACCCAAAAACAGTTGATGGGGTCCTGTACTATTTGTGCAGGCCAATTTTGCGCTGGCCCAAGATAATCCTGCTCCATGGACCCAGAAGGGCATAGCCCTCCAGTTGCTCCTCCTTCAGGGCTGTCCACCTTCAGTTGCAAAGAATTTTTATCCATTGTTTTTTTATAAGGCAATCGGGTATCAACTATGAGTCAAATGGCAGGTCCCTTCATTAATATTGCATTTCCAGGGACAGCTTTTTCAGCTTCTGATTTTGTGGTCTAAACGTGTTTTGGGGAAAAAAACAGGGAGAAGCTCTTAAACTATATCCTGTGACTTTTTTTCCCCGAAAACTACTGATGATGTCAGAATGAGCATTTTCAGTGGGTTTGGGGGCATTTCTAGATGAGGTTCAGTCATAATTTTAAATATCATGCACCCAAAAGTGGTATTGCCTCCCTCAGTCTCATTCCTGTTTTTCTTCTAGCAGTTGAAACTCTTAAAGGCACTGCTATTCTCCAGTCAACTCAGATTTGAAATCTGTCATTTTGAAATCCCCCCTTTCCTTTACCCTGTTTCCACCAATCATACTAATTCTTGTCTGTTCTGCATCTACCCCCTTTTTTTAATGTCAGTGAAATATTTCAAGCCAATACAAAAGGTCAAAATAATAATCTAATGGACACCCACGTACTCATCAAGTTCTGTCAAATGTTTGCATTTTGCCAAACTCCGTGGTATTTTTTTAATAAAAGTCATGTTGACAATTAAAGGCCTTGCAAATCCATCCCTGATTCCATTTATTTATTGCTTTAGCTAGCAAATATTTATCAGTCATTACTAAGTGCTAAGCCCTATTCTAGGATTGGATGCACATCAGTAAATGAAAGAAAGCCCCTACTTTCCTGGAGCTTACATGGCCCAGAAGTTACCTCCATCCCAAATTTGGTATAAGTGGTTTCACACACATTTTCTCATTCATTCCATTTCATGTCCCAAAACAGTATACACTATTATCATGCATGTTTTCAAACTTTATCTAAAGAGCACTTTATTAACATGTAGTACATATGCTTCTGCCACTTACCTTTTTGCTTCACATGTTGATAATTATTTTGAGAGCTGTAGCTCCAGTTCATATATGTTAACTACAGTGTTCCATTGTGTAGAACACCATTCCCTGTTGAGGAACATTTAGGTTATTTTGCAATTTTCATAAATAAAAAACATTCTGTAATGAATAAGTCCCTCTCCCCAGGATTATATTTATATGGCCTCTTTCCCACTCATTACACTTGCCAATGCCTTGTTCCTAAGAGGAGTTCAGCCAGTATGTGCTCTCTTGAATATTCTTCTAGAGTTGACCAGAAGTTTATTAGTGGACCACTCTATCTTTCAGAGAGAGTGGAGATTCCTCTCCTATCTTCAGAAAAGAATTTACATAATACAAGGATAAGAAAAAACTATCCCCATTACTAAGAGATACGGTTTTATTGGAAGAAGCATAAATAAGGTTAATTGGAGCAAAATGCCCTTTGTCTTCTTTGGCACAAACTTCCTTGAGTCCAGCACTCCTTTATTCTTCTTATCAGTATAGTAGTAATATCTGCAATGGTCTTTCTCAACCCTGACTGCCCATTAGAAGCCCTGGGAAAACTTTAAAAAGCCTGACCCTCAGTCACTCATCATACCAATCAATTGAGAATGTCTGGAGTGGGCTCAAACATTAGTACATTTTTTAAAGTTCCTCAGATATCTGTAACATGCAGCCAAGGTTGAGAACCATGGAGCTAGGGCAGGAGTGATCCTCAAATTATGGGCCCCAGCATGCTGCTGTGTGCCGAGCTCTCTGCCAAATTTTGGTCAATGTGCACAATTTATTTGCACTCTTACTAAAGATGCATGTGGTTCTCAGATTCTTAAAATGATCACCATTTAGCATTCTGTCACCATTTGTGTAGAATGGCTTACTGCGCTGACCATGTACTTATGTAACCCCAAGGCTAAGTCCTTCCATGTTCCACTAAACTTGTGACATTTCTCTGGCACCAGTTGAATGTTGTCAATGCCTCTTACCTACAGAAGACTGAGTGCTCTTTACCCCTCTACAACATGTCACACAATTTTTTTCTTGGCTCACTGTTCTGACAGGTGCCATTATAATAGTGTGTTCCCTCTCTAGTAGTAAAAATGAATTGCACGTATTTACTGAGGTATACGGTGTTGTCCAGCCCCATGTTCTAGAACTAATATAAGGATCTCTTTCCATCTTGAAACTTGTTCTTTATATCAGTGGTTACCTTTTAATCTCTTAAAATGTATTACCAAAAATTCAACTATTACAAATAAATCATGAAGCTTGAAAGATTAAAAGCCACAATCTAGAGGGCTCATATTAGGTTGTGAACAGCAAAAGGGTTCAAGGAGGCTGCTTCTTCTGGTTTTAGTGTACATTCATGTTTCTCAAACTTAGGTCTTTCTAGGAGTTCAATGGTTATCTATAAGAAATTTATAATGTTCTATTTTGATTCCAAGCAAAGTCAAAATATTTATATAAGTGCAGGACTGTTCTCCAGGTGGCCTTGGACTGACCAAGTTCTCACCTTCTTATTTGTAGTTCTTAAGAGTAACTAGAATGTGCTGAAAGTGCAATATCCTGAGGAAGGGAGGAATTGCATGGAATAGCCCAGGCCTTATTCCTGTCCCTCCTAGGGAATGTAACATTTTGAGTTAGGCAAGAACTGCCTAGTACAGCTTAGGCTTTGTTCCTCTCTCCCCTGGAAGCAGGATGTTCTTTGAAGTTTTGCTTAGTGAGCCACATTGCTCCTGAGGTATATAATCCAGAAGAGGCTGCCTTTCTGGGTCCTTCAGCTGTAGCACAAGTGGGACACGTGGAGTTGAGGCACCATCTGCCCCAGGAATGTTTCTTGAACTTTGGGGGACTGTCTCACAATGTATCCTAGACAGAGTCTTGCTCTGTTGCCCAGGCTGGAGTGCAGAGGCACGATCTCGGCTCACTGCAAGCTCCACCTCCCGGGTTCATGCCATTCTCCTGCCTCAGCCTCCCGAGTAGCTGGGACTACAGGCACCCTCCACCACGCCCAGCTAATTTTTTGTATTTTTAGTAGAGATGGCTTTTCACCATGTTAGCCAGGATGGTCTCGATCTCCTGACCTCGTGATCCACCTGCCTCGGCCTCCCAAAGTGCTGGGATTACAGGCGTGAGCCACCGCACCTGGGCTCTAGGCTTCTTTTATCACTTTCTGCCTGTTGTAGGTAATAAATCTACTTCATTTAACTTGTTGCATAAGAGTGTGTTCTGTCTCACCAGCTGCAAACAAGTTGGTAACAAGTGCACAGTGAACTTGCTCCATAATAAGCACACTAGGAACTATATTGAGTACTTCTTATGTGCTAGGGATTCTAAGGGTTTAACATGCATATCTCATTAATCCTCACAAGGTTAGATAAAGTATTACATTAGAGTTGAAGAAAAAGCATAGAACACTTATTAGCTGGGCCTAAGGATGCACAGCTGATAGGTGATAAGGATAGGACTCAAACCCAAAGTGTGTTACTCCTAGGCCCACCTTTGTAATCACTACACTATGCTATTCCTTAAACTATCACAGTTTACTGAAGAAAGAAGTGAGATGGGCTTAAATGTAATTGATGCCTTGTGCCACGTGATGATCAACTGATGCCTTGGCATCTGCTCAAATATGAACTTCATGATAGAACAAACAGAGAAGACATACAGAATAGCAGAATGGATTAAAAAAAAATTACAATCCAAATATCTGCTATCTTCAAGAGACTCACTTAACACAGAAGGATTCATATAAACTCAAGGAAAAAGGGTGGAAAAAGGTATTCTATGCAAATGGAAACCAAAAGTGAGCACAAGTAGCTATTCTTTTTTTTTTTTTTTTTTTTTGTAGACACATTCTTGCTCTGTTGCCAGGCTGGAGTGCAGTGGCATGATCTTGGCTCACTGCAACCTCCGCCTCACGGGTTCAAGCAATTCTCCTGCCTCAGCCTCCCAAGTAGCTGGGACTACAGGCGTGTCATGTTGGCCAGGATGGAGCTCCTGACCTCGTGATCTACCCGCCTCAGCCTCCCAAAGTGCTGGGATTACAGGTGTGATACACTGCCCCCATCCAGAGTAGCTATTCTTATATCAAACACAACAGACTTCAAAGCAACAACAGTAAAATATATATATATAAAGATGGTCACTATACAATGATCAAATGAATTGATAATCAATTCAACAAGAAGATATTATAATCCTAAATTTATATGCACCAAACACTGGATCTCCCAGATTCACAAAACAAATACTACTGCACATAAGAAATGAGATAGATAGCAAAATAATAGTAGTGATAGACATAGCACTAGACAGATCTTTGAGACATAAGGTCAACAGAGAAACAACACACTTAAATGGCATGCTAGAACAAATGGACTTAACAGACATTTACAAAACATTCTACCTAAGATCTGCAAAATATAAATTTTTCTCATTAGCACATGAAACATTCTTCAAGATAGACCATATGATAGCTCACAAAACAAGTCTCAATCAGTTTTTTTTAAAATTGAAATCATATCAAGTATCTTTTCAGACCACAGTGGAATAAAATTAGAAATCAATTCCAAAAGAAACCTTCAAGACTACAAATACATGGAAATTAAATAATCTGCTACTGAATGATATCTGGGTTAACAGTGAAATAAAGATAGGAATTAAACATTCTTTGAATTGAAGGATAATAATGACACAAGCTATCAAAACCTCTGGGATATAACAAAAGTGTGCTAACAGGAAAGCTGATAGCACTAAATGCCTTCATCAAAAAGTTTGAAAGAGCACAAATTGACAACCGAATGTCACACCTCAAGGAGCTGGAAAAACAAGAACAAACTAAACTTAAAGCTAGAAGAAGAAAAGAAATAACAAAGATCAGAACAGAATTAAATGAAATTCAAACAAACAAAAAGATCAGTACAACAAAAAGTTGATTCTTTGAAAAAACAAACAAAATTAATAACCATTGGCTAGATTAACCCAGAGAAGAAGAGAGAAGATCCAGATAAGCTCAATTAGAAATGAAACTGGAGACATTACAACCGACACCATAAAAGTACAAAAGATCATTGAAGACTATTATTGTAACTGCCCAGTGGGTTCACCTTGCCCGCTGCCTAGACAGAGCAGATTTATCAAGATATGGGAGTTGCAGTGGAGAAAAAGTAATTCATGCAGAACCAGTTGTGCAGGAGACCAGAGTTTTATTATGACTCAAATCAGTCTCCCTGAGCATTCAGGAATCAGAGTTTTTAAAGATAATTTGGTGGGTAGGGGCTTGAGAATTGGGGAGTGCTGACTGGTCTGATTGGAGATGAAATCATAAGGGGTCAAAGTGAATTTTTCTTGCTGTCTTCTGTTCCTGTGTGCGATGGCAGAACTGGTTGAGTATTCTTGCCAAAAGAAAAAAAATTGACCTGAATCTAATCAAACTGTTAGATCTAGCTAATATGTAAAGGAAACAGCAAGGATAGAAGAAGTTAAAATACACCATGAATAAACAATTTGTCAGAAGAAGCAATGGGAAAATCTACTGGATAAACAACAGGATTTCCTTAACAAACAAAGGCATGAAAGAAGAGATCATGAGAAATGTTATATATTAAGAGTGACATAAGAGAGAAACCAAATGCTATGTATGGAACTTGTCTGCACTCTGGTTAAACAAATCCAGTGTAAAAGACATTTTTTTAGATAATCATGGAAATTCGACCACAGACTGGGTATTGGATGATGTTAGGGGGTTATTGTTAACTTTGTCAGACATGAGAATGACCCTGTAGTTAAGATTTTCTTAAGTCGTTATCTGTTAGAAAAATATACCAAGGTATTTACAGGGTAAATACTCTCCAGCTCAACCTCCCTCTCCATTCCAGAGAATGGTGAGGAGACAGATGAAACAACATTAGCAAAATGTTGGTACCTTCTGAAGTCGGACAATGGGGTAGGTGGAGTATCATCAGACTATTCCCTCTAGCTGCTTGTATGTTTCAAAATTTCCATGATAAAAGGATTTTTTAAGGTCTCAGAATACTCAATGACAGTCTAAGGTTGGAATCACAGTGGAATTCTCACGATGCGCCTCCCATGGTAGAGGCACAGGAAGAGTAATATGTATGGAAGGGGATCCTCAGGTTCCCCTTGGCAGGCTTCATATTCCCCAGCAAGGAGGAAACATGGTATTTCCACAGGACCCCACTACATTTTCTGCTAAAAGGTGGACACTGTTTAAAGAAAATAAAAAGCCCCCCAAAGATTGGAAGATCTCTCTTCAATACGGTCTGTAAAGCATTCTCTATTCATAAACGCATTTCCTGAAATAGAACATATTCACATATTTAAATGTAAAGTGAATCACTTACAGAAAACACTGTTATTACTTTCTGCAATGCCTTTCTACAATCTGAATACAACTGTCTTCTGCCTTAATTTAAAACTAGGCCTACCATTTTTTTTTTTATTTTTTGAGACGGAGTCTCTCTCTTTCGCCCAGGCCTGACTGCAGTGGCACTATCTCCGCTCACTGCAAGCTCCGCCTCCTGGGTTCACGCCATTCTCCTGCCTCAGCCTCCTGAGTAGCTGGGACTACAGGCGCCCGCCACCGCGCCCGGCTAATTTTTTTGTAGTTTTAGTAGAGACGGGGTTTCACCGTGTTAGCCAGGATGGTCTCGATCTCCTGACCTCATGATCCACCCGCCTCGGCCTCCCAAAGTGCTGGGATTACAGGCGTGAACCACCGCGCCTGGCCTAGGCCTACCATATTTTTAAAAGTACAGCACAATTCCTTTCTGGTTTTGCCTCCATGTAAACAGAAAGAAGGACTATACACTGACATTTCCCCTATTTGCTGCAGAGCTTATAGTACTTGCATAATAAATTAGAGAGGAAAAAGACCAACTCAGTTCAACTGCAACTGAGAAGAAACATGCATAATGATACTTATCCTGATTCTGTCAACTTGTAAATATGTATAATAGATATTCACACTTACCCACAACCCATAAAAGATGAATTTCCAAAATTGCAGAATATTTATTCTCTGTAAAATTTTAGTTAGAGCTGCATCCCAGATGACTCATTTGGCATTTAATCGTATGTAAATTAGTTTTGGAATTTACTACAGTCTTTGATAATGATAGATGACATTCACAGGCAACCAATGATAGACAAGATCACTTGCCATAAAATGACTATGTTATCCAGGAAAGTAAAGAAGAGACATAATTACTGGCCCTCTAAACTGGAAGGCACCCAAGAATCTCTTTTAGTAGGTGACTAAAGGGGAAGACATTTATCTATTGACCAGTGTATTTATTTCCAAAGCCTGCCATAGCAAAGTAACACAGATGGGGTGGCCTAAACAACAGAATTGTCTCATGATTCTGGAGGCTAGAAGTTCGAGACCAAAGTGTCAACAGTGCTGGTTCCTTCTGAGGGCTATAAAAAAGAATCTGTTCCATGTCAGCCTCCTAGTTTCTGGTGATTGCTGGCAATCTTTGGCAATCATTTGCTTGTAGAGGCATCACTTTGATCTCTGCCTTCCTGTTCACATTTCATTCTTCCTGTATGTGTCTCTCCATGTGACATTCTTTTTTATAAAAACAACAGTCATACTGGATTACGGACCCACTTTACTCCAGTATGATGTCATCTTAATTAATCACATCTGCAATGATTTTATTTCCAAATAAGGTTGCATTCTGAGATACTGAGGGTTAGGTCTTCAACATATCATTTTGGGGATACACATTTCAACCCATAACAACTCAGAGAGTCAAAAAAACAAAGAGGCCACCATACCATTTTCCACAGGTCAACTAGTAAAGACCTGCTTTCTGATTGTATACAAATATGTTGACATTTGTCCTAACCACAGTAGAAAAAGTATATAAATGGTAGCCTTCATAGGGCTGTAACAGGTATGTTATTTAGAATCCATGTTCCAGATGCTTTAACAATGAGATGATACAGTGAAAAATGAGATAGAAGTTTATTTTCCTTTCAGTTAATCATCTGAGAATAAGCACTTTAGGGATGATTTAACAGCACTGAACTATTAAGGACCCTGGGATCCTTTATATTATTGCCATCTTCAACATGAAGTTTCCATCTCTGGGCTTTTGCCATCATGTTTGCCACACACCTATTAAGAAGGAAATTAGGGCAAGGGAGTTGTATTTGTCCATTCTTGCATTGCTATAAAGAAATACCTGGGCAGGGTGTGGTGGCTCACACCTGTAATCCCAACACTTTGGGAGGCCCAGGAGGGTGGATCATCTGATGTCAGGAGGTTGAGGCCAGCCTGACCAATATGGTAAAACCCCGTCTCTACTAAAAAAAAATACAAAAATTAGCCAGGCATGGTGGCATGTGCCTGTAGCTCCAGCTACTTGGGAGGCTGAGATAGAAGAATTGCTTGAACCTGGGAGGCAGAGGTTGCAGTGAGCCAAGATCATGCCATTACATTCCAGCCTGGGCAACAAGAGCAAAATTCCATCTCATAAATAAATAAATAAATACCTGAGACTGGGTAACTTAAAAAGAAAAGAAGTCTAATTGGCTCTCAGTTCTGCAGGCTGTACAGAAAGCATCGTGCTACATCTGCTTGCTTGACTTCTGGGGAGGCCTCCAATAACTTACAACCATGGCTGAAGGCAAAGGGGAGCAAGATATCTCACATGATGGGAGCAGGAGCAAGAGAGAGCGTGAGTGGGGAGGTGCTAGACACTTTTAAACAACCATATCTCTCCAGAATTCACTCACTATCATGAGAACAGTGCCTAGAGAATGGTGCTAAACCATTCATGAGAAACTGCCCCCATGATCCAATCACCTCCCACCAGGCCCCACCTCCAACATTGGGGATTACAATTCATCATGAGATTTGGTGGGGACACAGATCCAAATCATATCAGCAGTGTATGCCCATTACTTTTGAGAGTACAAGAGGAAAGTAGAACACATCACTTCTCTCATCTCATCGAACAGAACTTAGCTATACGGCTACAACCGGCTTCTAGAGGTAGCCCTGGGCTATACCAAGGCTGGGAAATACAGTCCTAACCCATGACCAGTTAAAACTATCACTGTGGAAGAATGGGAGAGCAGATTGTGGTGTGGAGTCTAATGGTCTCTTTCACAGCCAGTCAACCTAATAAAACTCCGCAACTCCTTATAATCCCCTTCCACTCTTATGAAATTGCTGTTAAGTTTCAAAGGCTTAATTCAGTCCTTATCCCTTGAAGCTTCTCTACAATGTTTGATATAATTGACCTGCTTGGAGTTCTTTCTTCCTGATATAGTTTGGCTTTGTGTCCCCAGCCAAATCTCACCTTGTAACCCCCATAAATCCCACGTGTTGTGGGAGGGACCCAGTGAAAGATAATTGAATCATTGGGTCCAGTCTTTCCCACGCTGTTCTCATGTTAGTGAATAAGTCTCACAAGATCTGAGGGTTTTAAAAATGGGAGTTTCCCTGCACACCCTCTCTCTCTTTGCCTGCTGCCATCCACATAAGATGTGATTTGCTCCTCCCTGCCTTCTGCCATGATTATGAGGCTTCCCCAGCCACGTGGAACTGTAAGTCCATTAAACCTCTTTCTTTTGTAAATTGCCCAGTCTTGGGTATGTCTTTATCAGCATCGTGAAAACAGACTAATACACTGCCCCTTCTCTTCTAATTGTTTCTTCTTAATAATATTACTTTCTGGCCCTGCTTCTGTTCATCTTCCTTAAAGTAAGTGGTTCCAAAAGGCCTGTCATCCAAATCTCTTTTCTCTTTCTTATATGCCCTCCCTTTTGCAAAGTCATCAACTTCCTTGATTTCAACCATCAGTTTGAAGTTTGATGCTTCCCATATATCTGATCTGTTGCCCTACTTTCTCTCCAGTGTCTCTACTCCACATTTCCCACTATGTGCTGGACTTTGCTATATCTTGTCAAAGTCTCAGACATCCAAAACTAGATTTACCATCATCTCTCTGAAATCTGTTTCCTTTTACCTTGGCTCTTGTTTATAGCATTACTATAACCCAAATGTTTTAGAGTTTGGGTGGTTGTAACTGTCTTCTCCCTACCTTATCCAGTCAATGAGTATATTGTGTCCATTGTAACTCTGGAGTTTTATACACCCACACCTTTCTGACCTGTTCCTAAAGCCATTGTTCTTGTTCTTGTTCTGACTTCATTACCTCTTAGTCTAGACCATTCTACTAATTTCTCTCCTCATTCTAACTCTTCCTATACTAATATCAGGGATGCCAAAGCACAACTTTGAAAAAGATCAGGGAAAGCATAGTCATTGTGGCTGACCATGATTCCAGTCTCAATGGTAGAACTTTTTAGTTCCTACAATTTTCCAGATACTTACATGCGATATCTCATATAATACTCAGTAACATCTAACTAAATTAACAGCTAAGTAAATTAAGTGCATACATACACCAGGCACTGTGCCAAGAACTGTACCTTATTTTAATCTCACAACCTAAAAAGGTAAGTACTATTATTGTTCTCTTTTTGTATACTAAGCAACTGAGAGGAAGAAACAAAGGCTTTACAAAACTGAGTAATTTACTCACGGTCTAATATTGGTTAAATGGTGAAACTAGGATTTGAACCACTTAGTTTCCAAAATACCCTCTCATAAACATTAACTTAACCTCATAGCAATTATAGAAGGTCATTATTACTATTATTATTTCATAAACAAAGGAAATTAAGTAATCTTAAATTGACCAGACTTCAAAGCACAAGTTCTTTCTTTTCTTTTTCTTTTTTGTTATTGTACTTTAAGTTCTAAGATACATGTGCACAATGTGCAGGTTTATTACATATGTACACATGTGCCATGTTTGTGTGCTGTACCCATTAACTCCTCATTTACATTGGGATATCTCCTAATGCTTTCCCTCCCCCCTCTCCCCACCCCACAAAAGGCCAAGGTGTGTGATGTTCCCCTTCCTGTGTCCAAGTGTTCTCATTGTTCAATTCCCACCTATGAGTGAGAATATGTGGTGTCTGGTTTTTTGTTCTTGCAATAGTTTGCTGAGAATGATGGTTTCCAGTTTCATCCATGTACCTACAAAGGACATGAACTCATCATTTTTTATGGCTGCATAGTATTCCATGGTGTATATGTGCCACATTTTCTTAATCCAGTCTATCATCGATGGACATTTGGGTTGGTTCCAAGTCTCTGCTATTGTGAATAGTGCTGCAATAAACACATGTGTGCATGTGCCTTTACAGCAGCATGATTTATAATCCTTTGGGTATATACCCAGTAATGGCATGGCTGGGTCAAATGGTATTTCTACTTCTAGATCCTTGAGGAGTCTCCACACTGTCTTCCACAATGGTTGAATTAGTTTACAGTCCCACCAACACTGTAAGAGTGTTCCTATTTCTCCACATCCTCTCCAGCACCTGTTGTTTCCTGACTTTTTAATGATCTCCATTCTAACTGGTGTGAGATGGTATCTCATTGTGGTTTTGATTTGCATTTCTCTGATGGTCAGTGATGACAAGCATTTTTTCATGTGTCTTTTGGCTGCATAAATGTCTTCTTTTGAGAAGTGTCTGTTCATATCCTTCACCCACTTTTGATGGGGTTGTTTTTTTCTTGTAAATTTGTTTGAGTTCATTGTAGATTCTGGATATTAGCCTTTGTCACATGAGTAGATTGCAAAAATTTTCTCCCATTCTGTAGGTCGCCTGTTCACTCTGATGGTAGTTTCTTTTGCTGTGCAGAAGCTCTTTAGTTTAATTGGATCCCATCTGTCAATTTTGGCTTTTGTTGCCATTGCTTTTGGTGTTTTAGACATGAAATCCTTGCCCACGCCTATATCCTGAATGGTATTTCCTAGGTTTTCTTCTAGGGTTTTAATGATTTTAGGTCTTACATTTAAGTCTTTAATCCATCTTCAATTAATTTTTGTATAAGGTGTAAGGAAGGGATCCAGTTTCAACTTTCTCCATATAGCTAGCCTGTTTTCCCAGCACCATTTATTAAATAGGGAATCCTTTCCCCATTGCTTGTTTTTGTCAGGTTTGTCAAAGATCAGATGGTTGTAGATGTGTGGTATTATTTCTGAGGGCTCTGTTCTGTTCCATTGGTCTATATCTCTGTTTTGGTACCAGTACCATGCTGTTTTGGTTACTGTAGCTTTGTAGTATAGTTTGAAGTCAGGTAGTGTGATGCCTCCAGGTTTGTTCTTTTGGCTTAGGATTGTCCTCACAATGTGGGCTCTTTTTTGGTTCCATATGAACTTTAAAGTAGTTTTTTCCAATTCTGTGAAGAAAGTCATTGGT
Organism: Homo sapiens; assembly: GCF_000001405.40. NCBI lineage: Eukaryota > Metazoa > Chordata > Mammalia > Primates > Hominidae > Homo > Homo sapiens. The sequence goes on along the minus strand of NC_000010.11, from coordinate 50,761,917 downwards.
AGCTTGATGGGGATGACATTGAATCTATAAATTACCTTGGGCAGTATGGCCATTTTCATGATATTGATTCTTCCTACCCATGAGCATGGAATGTTCTTCCATTTGTTTGTATCCTCTTTTATTTCATTGAGCAGTGGTTTGTAGTTCCCCTTGAAGAGGTCCTTCGCGTCCCTTGTAAGTTTGATTCCTAGGTAATTTATTCTCTTTGAAGCAATTGTGAATGGGAGTTCACTCCTGATTTGGCTCTCTGTCTGTTATTGGTGTATAAGAATGCTTGTGATTTTTGCACATTGATTTTGTATCCTGAGACTTTGCTGAAGTTGCCTATCAGCTTAAGGAGATTTTGAGTCGAGATGATGGGGCTTCTAGATATACAATCATGTCAACTGCAAACAGGGACAATTTGACTTCCTCTTTTCCTAATTGAATACCCTTTATTTCCTTCTCCTGCCTGATTGCCCTGGCCAGAACTTCCAACTCTATGTTGAACAGGTGTGGTGAGAGAGGGCATCCCTGTTTTGTGCCAGTTTTCAAAGGGAATGTTTCCAGTCTTTGCCCATTCAGTATAGGCTGTGGGTTTATCATAAATAGCTCTTATGATTTTGAGATATGTCCCATCAATACATAATTTATTGAGAGTTTTTAGCATGAAGGGCTGTTGAATTTTGTCAAAGGCCTTTTCTGCATCTATTGAGATAATCATGTGGTTTTTGTCTTTGGTTCTGTTTATATGCTGGATTACGTTTATTGATTTGCATATGTTGAACCAGCCTTGCATCCCAGGGATGAAGCCCACTTGATCATGGTGGATAAGCTTTTTGATGTGCTGCTGGATTCGGTTTGCTAGTATTTTATTGAGGATTTTTGCATCGATGTTCATCAAGGATATTGGTCAAAAATTCTCCTTTTTTGTTGTGTCTCTGCCAGGCTTTGGTATCAGGATGATGCTGGCCTCATCAAATGAGTTAGGGAGGATTCCCTCTTTTTCTATTTATTGGAATAGTTTCAGAAGGAATAGTACCAGCTCCTCCTTGTACCTCTGGTAGAACTCTGCTGTGAATCCATCTTGTCCTGGACTTTTTTTGGTTGGTAAGCTATTAATTTTTGCCTCAATTTCAGAGCCTGTTATTGGTCTATTCAGGGATTCAACTTCTTCCAGGTTTAGTCTTGGGAGAGTGTATGTGTCCAGGAATTTATCCATTTCTTCTAGATTTTCTAGTTTATTTGCGTAGAGGTGTTTATAGTATTCTCTGATGGTAGTTTGTACTTCTTTGGGATTGGTGGTGATATCCCCTTTATCATTTTTTTATTGCATCTAGTTGATTCTTCTCTCTTTTCTTCTTTATTAGTCTTGCTAGCGATCTATCAATTTTGTTGATCTTTTCAGAAAACCAGCTCCTGGATTCATTGATTTTTTGAAGGGTTTTTTGTGTCTCTATTTCCTTCAGCTCTGCTCTGATCTTATTTATTTCTTGCCTTCTGCTAGCTTTTGAATGTGTTTGCTCTTGCTTCTCTAGTTCTTTTAATTGTGATGTCAGTGTGTCAATTTTAGATCTTTCCTGCTTTCTCTTGTGGGCATTTAGTGCTATAAATTTCAAAACCGCTCAACTACATGGAAACTGAACAACCCGCTCCTGAATGACTACTGGGTACATAACAAAATGAAGGCAGAAATAAAGACATTCTTTGAAACCAATGAGAACAAAGACACAACATACCAGAATCTCTGGGACACATTTAAAGCAGTGTGTAGAGTTCTTTCTTTTCTTTATACAACTTCCTATTTATGTTCCTCGGTTATAAATGAAGTTCCAGTCCCTGTGAGATTTCTTGCATTCGTGGATTATTGACATTAAGAGAAACTGAGAAGAGACAGGCAACAAGTCAGCACAATACAGTCCACAGTGTAGGAAAGCCTTCCAGAGGTTGTATTCTCCTCATGATAGTGGAATCAACTTTATAAAATCACAGATACTAGTTTCTTGAAATTCCACTTAAGGGTGTCTTTCTCCATGTTATCACCACTGTCCCTTGGCCATTTAGGGGATGTGGTTGGACTTTGTCCTAAGCTTGCAATTGCTGGATTATTAAGTTCTTTTGTCCTTTTAGCTTATTTTGGTCTGGAAAAAAAGGGTAAATCTTTTATACTGAATATGAAAAATACAATGAGACAGAGAAAATGATCAAGTCAATGTTTCCAGATACCTGATTTCAGACAGGGATAGTAGATCTTCTATTCTCCTCTAGCTAGTATTGACCCCATACCCCTAGGCTTCTAATTTTTCATTATGGTAAAAAAATCCAGAAATAGGACTAACCGAAGCTGGGTCCCTGATAACTTGGCAGTATGCAGGCCAAGATGCTTTGAATTTTATGAGGGTGGCTCAAATTTTTAGTATTCACAAGTATTTATGAACTCGTAAGGCTGGAACTCTGAACCCTATCTAAAGGGAGAGAATGGTCTTCATTGGCTATACTTGCCATTTTAGCAGGTACAACAAACAAAAAACAAAATAAATCAGATTTGGAAATATGAAATTGACATAAGCAAAAGAAGTCTCTTAATAAATTCAATTCCATGGGTTTGTCTATGGACAGGGTTATAGCCCTGAAGACAGAAGGATGACACTAAGTGGTACTGGAAACTGGGAGTCGAGGTAAGTTTTTGGTTATAGAAAGTGTATTTTATTATTAGAGCAAATGGCAAATACATTCAAGGACATTGATGTCAAGGGGGAAAAATGCTAATACAAGTATAAAACCAAATTGCTATTTATGAAGGTAAAGTTTGGTGCTGCCTCACTGTCAACTCTTTCCTTATACTCTAACTATAGTCTTGATAAAGTACTCAATATTCCCTCTACATGGAATAGTCTATTTGCCCAGTACACAAACACAAACACAAACTAATACACACATACATGCACACACCATTGCCTTCCTTCTAGCTAATTTCTACATATCTTTTAAGTCTTAGCTTATATGTTATTTCTTCCAGGAAACTTACTGAAACATCCCCAAGACCATATTAGGTGCCCTCTCTAATTCCCTGAACAATAACAATATGGGTCACTCTGTACAGTAATTACCTGTTCATCCGTTTGCTTTGTTCGTTAAACTCTAAGTTCCTTTTGGCAGGGAATAGCTTTGCCTTCATTATTGTTTCATTCTTAGGATTTAGCATAATTTCTGCCATAAAGTATATAGGTGCTTGATATAAATCTGTTAAAGGAACGTATACATTTTGCAATACAGAAAGCAATTTTTTTCGTCATTATTCCAATGTGTGTTCTTTTCCAAAATATATTTTCTAGAGTAAAACGAGTTCTAATTATTTCAAAGAGCAGTTAATTTGGATATGCAGATATTATTGCTTGCCCACTGTGGTAACCTTTAGGGCTGCTTGCAAATATCCTGGTTCTGTCACCTGCCCAGTGAAAAATGCACAGTAATGTGGAAGCTTCACGAACTATTGCATGATTCTCCCTGTCCCTTCCCCCTAATCATGGAAGCACCTGTTCCTGTTCCCTCACAATGGAAGAATGTTTAGAATGGAAGTCTCTGTCAGCCTGTGAACTCAAATGAGATGTGGAACAGATCCTTCAGCTAACCCCAATGGACAGGTCATGAGATCAAGAAATAAATCTCTAATGTTGTAGCATAACTAATCTGTCTTGACTAACATAATTTTATGACAGCTACTTCGGCTATCTCTTCTTTCTTACTATCAGAACTTGCCTCACTCTCTAGAAGCACAAAATACTAAATATTCTTTTTTCCAGCTTCCCTTGCAGGTAAGAGTAGCTGTGTGGCACAGTTCTGAACAAAGAAATAGAAGGAAAATTCAACTTGTGTTCTTACTATTTTCCACCTTCTAAAAGGGGATTATAAAGAGAACTCTCTCCTCCCATTTTGCTGCCGCATTCAATTATATGTAGACTTGAGGTAGCGATCTTTTAGCTAAGAGGATAAGCCTAAGAATTAAGTCAATATATTAAGAAGAGCCACTGAGTGGCTGCACCAAACCTGAATTTATCACTTCAAGACTTACTGCTATGTGAGGTTATAAATGTCTTTAGTGTTTGGATGCATGTTGATCAGGAATATTTTCTGAGTTACAGCTGAATGCATACTAACAAATTGCATAAGGAATGTGCAAATTTCCCTCTCCGATACCCTATCACTCTAAAATTTTGGAAGCCAATATAAACCAGCAAGTCAGGTTGGATACCCAGGAAGCAAGAGCATCATTTGGAAGAACTAAACACATGAGAAGTTCATCTAGTGATGAAACCTTTTGGCTAAAGATAGAATCCATGCGCTAATCTTAGAAAAAGACAGTAAGCTTGCTTACATTGGAGGAGAAGCATAAGAGGGCACATTAGAAAAGGACATTCATAAGTAAATTCATTCTTGGTCTTTTTGTTCAGAATTAGCGCAGGAAACAATTTCATAGTTAGCTACCTGCCTAGGAAATTTTTTTGCCCAACTAGTAAAAAAGAGAAAGAAAATAAAAGAAATGCCAACCATACATGTGCTTTACCAGCAGTACATCTTCAGAAGTTAGAAAGGAACTGATAAAGAAGTGGTTCCCTTGTGCTTCAGTGGTTATTTACAAGTCATTTGTATCACTTTCCAACCTAATTTACATGTAATCTACCACCTTTTGTTCCACCTCTTTTTTTAAAAAAGTGTTCGTTTGTCTACATTACCTTTCATTAGACAATACTTTTATGAGTGTAATTCTTAATTTATTATTAAATAATCCATTGAATATTGACAATTTTACACAGTACTCATCAAAAAATCTAGACCCGGCAAAGAGATTATTCAGTGCTTTTCGAAGAAGTCAAAAAATCCTTAAAACCAGAGTAGGCAGGGTACAGCAAATAAAATGCAGACACTTTAACATGAGAAACAAAATCTCCAAAATTGTTCTCCTACCTACCCAATCTGCCATATTCCACTTTTTCCACCAATTTCAGGAGTTTCCGCCACATGGTTTGGCTCCAGTGAGCCAGTCCTTGCAGCATCCACAGACACGAATTGGATCTGTGTTTTTATATCAACAGATAAGTTCAATTACTTCATGATATTCTTTTATGCACAGGTAAAGAACTGATATTGATAATCCAGGAATTTGGTTTTATTTTTACACATGAACTGTGAACATAGAACTGCATGCCCTAGAAGAAATGACAGCTGGTGAGAAAATAGGTTTCTGTGCGTTATCTGGAGCCAAGAGTGCTAGGTGCAGAAGGATCAGTAGATGATACAGTGGCCACCTTGGTACAGTTGCCAGTGAGCTATCAGGAATCACAAGTAGATTTGAGGAAAGCTTCAATAGAAGGAATAGAGGTAGTGGAAACTGATTCATGAACCCTTCTGAGTAATAACAAATACTTTAAAAAACCATATCATGAGTTCTAATATAATTTTCTTGTCTGGAATCAGCTACTTTCAGGATCACTTGTTCTTTTAGGCTTCTGAACTTTTACACTGAAGACTGTGGCGTCATCAGAAAAAAGATCACAACACTTGGAATCCCTGATTACCTAATCCTCCAGCAGTTAAGGCCCAAGGAAACAGCCTCTAGGATACCAATTCATCAAAAAGTGTTCCAGGTTCATTCTAATTCAATAAATTATGTTGAGATTAAGTTATACATAATAGATGTTAATACTACCATTATGAATATTGTTATTATTTTCAAACCTCAAAGTTTATTTTTGAAATACAGATTGATTTTTTTCCCTAAAATGCTAAAGCTTTTACATACATACAAAAGTATGACCTGGGGTTTGGAAATTTGCTTTGCAGTCTGGGAGGTTGTAGTTAACTTAAAGAATTTTAAATGCAATTAGTACTTTCAGACAATCGATGTCAGATTGTCATATCTTATTCTTTGGGGTATGAAGCAAGGTATTTTACAATGCCCAAAAATAACTTTCAAAATAGTATTTAGCAAACTGTCTGGAGCCTCTTTCCCCCCAAATTAGAGTATCCAACACAGATGATACACAAGATATAACTTGAAGATTACTGATTTTTTAAATGCCTCCCCAGAATTTACATATTAAATCGATTATTTTCTCCTTCATAATAGTTACCTTTTGACACTTACACATTCACCCCAAGTACAAATTCACTAATTATCAAGGCCTAGGCACTATTATAATTCTGGGCATATAAATCTTAAATATTCTATGATTGAATGGGTCCATGAGTGAGTGAGTGAGCAAATGGTAAAAGAACAGATAAATTAATTTAGAACCTCTGCTTTGAGGAGTGCTTTCCCAGCCAGTAATATTTTTAATATCTACGCTAATGGCAAAACTTTCTGGTTTGGGGTGAATTTGATTAATGAAAAGAGTCAAAAAATCATTTGGAATAAGTCTTGGGAGTAAGAGACACAATCCAGTGGGATAAGGACACTTAGGAAGACACAAGGCATGATCAAAATATTGGAAGTCTGACTTTCTCATAATTGTGTCCTGAAGGCAATTCCAGAAATGATTTGAGCATCCACAGCGGCTCTGAACTAGGCATGTTAACTCCAGAATGACTGCTTAGAAAGACTATGTTATTTTGAATGAAGGAAAACTGACATGCTGATTTTCTGTTTCTCTAATTAGGCTCATACATTCATGGTCAAGGTTTATATCATATTTTGTAAATGTGATTAGAAGAAAAGACCATTTTTCTTATATGTAAGATGAAGGGTAAGACTAGATGATTTCTATAAATTTTCCCAGTACTAATATTCAGTAATTCTATATATAAATAAATAATTTAAACATTGTTCACATTAGTGAGCCATTCTCACTAATATTTCAGAGGTTTTATATTGAAGGGACTCTCCTTTAAACAACCCCAAGACTTCAAGGGAAATCATGCTTTAGGCTGTAGACCACAAGATATATGGCTGCTGGAACAAGATATATGGGACAAACCTCTCTCTCTCTCTCTCTCTCTCACATACACACACACACACACACACACACACACACACACACACACACACACCCCTCCACCCCATTAGCAGTAAACTATCTGTCCCCAAACAGGGACGATTATAGAAGTCAACATGGTAGTTCACTAGTTCACATTCATTTGAAATCACTTATATAATGTGTAGAGAGTAAAGCTGTTCTTTAAATGATCTATCAACTTTTCACTAAATAGTTACAACTTCAAAAGCCGGGGAAGTGCCTTCAAATGAAAGTATGACAGCAGGCTTCAGAATGTCCTGCTTCCGATTGTGTCCAAAATATCTTATTCTGTAGATTCCAGGCTGGGCAGTGTCTGGAATATGCCATTCCACTGTTGCATTACTCAGACCCAGGAGTCCCTTGTGCCAATAAAAACTGTTGATAAAAAACAAACAAGCAAGCAAAACTCAATTTTACTCTTAAAAATGTTTAATTAGAAAAATACATGATTATTCATTTAATGAATATTCAGAGAATACCTACAATGAGCAAGGCACTATCAAGACATTGAAGATACAGCAATGAACAAAACAGACAAAAACGTCTATTTTCTAGAAGAGAAACTTTAAAGAACAGCAATTTGTAGAAACAGCTTTACTTGTTCTACCTTTCTACCTACCTAAATTATACTCACCCCAGGAAACCTTACCTGATAGCCACAAGATGTCTCTCCTGCTGTAGAATTGCAAAGCACTCTTTTAGCCCTTATCTGACACTTATTTTCACATCTAGATTCATTTGTTTTCTATATATATATATGTGTGTGTGTATACATATATATATGTATATATATATATAGAAAATGAATACATGTCAGACTCTCTTCTAGAAGTACTGAGGGTACAGTAAGGAGCAAGATAGATATGGTCCCAAGTTTCATGAAGCTTATGTTCTACTGAGTTGAAGATGGAAATAAATGCAATAAACAAAAAGCAATAAATATAAAAATCTTAAGAATGACAAGTTTAGTGTAGAAAACAAGATGGAAGTTTTTTAGGGAGATGTCATTTAAACTGAGTCTGCAGAAATCTGGAGGAAAAAACATTCTAACAAGAAGGAACAGAAAATACAAAGTGTCCAAAGCAGGAACAAACTTGATGTGGCCACAAAGCAGAAAGCAGGTCAGTTGGTACAGGGAATGGTAAACCATGGAAGAGTGCTTGAGATGAGAGAAACAGGTGGAACCAGATCATGTTGGCCCCTGCAGATCACAGCAGAGAGTTCAGACACTCTTCTAGACTCAGTGAGATACAATGGGCTAACTGATATCCTCAGTTATGCTGAAAGTAAATCTCTTGGGCACAGAGAGTGTGCTCGACATTCTGTGTTTCTCAGTGATGGGTTCAGTACTCTCAACAAATATTTGATTATTCTGCTGCTAATGAACAAGGCAGAGATCTAAACATATCCTCAGTATTGACTGCTATTAGCTAAAAACTTTGAGCATTTAAATATAAATCATTCTTTTTATTACCTGTATAACCTTTTCAACGATAAATATACATTACTTGTTTTAAAATGTACCTATACTCTACAGCTCTAAATACCAAAGAAAAATTTTGCCCATATTTGTATATGGGCCATGGTCAAATTCCTATTTTCAATTAACCATCTGAACCATACTAACATATTTACATTTAACAAACTAATATCACTTAGTTTGAGGCAATCTGAATTAGACCCAAATTGCCAAAAACTGTACCTACTTCCATGCCACTGTCATGGAATGTTAAATTTATAGACTTGGGAACAGAAGTATTGTCTTATTTCAGACACATTATCAAATCTTCAAAATATCTATTCAGCTCAGGAATTTGGTAGCAAAAGGCAAAGAGATATGTCTCTCTGGAGAAATTGCCTGAATATATTATCTCCTCACTCAAGTCATTAAGAGTTAAACACCCAAGCCTCTAGTGTTTTAGTAACTCAAATGAAGAATCATTGATCATATACAAACATGCAATACATGTCAGGTATAGACTCATTTTCCCTATAGAAATATCAAGCTCTACAGAGACATCTCAACACTTTTACTCTATACTCCTTTCAACCAATTTGCAAGGAAGCCAGTTAGATTTTACAAATAATACCTGTGTCCATGGGGAAAAAAAACAGAACAGATGTCTGTAAGAATGGAAGCCATAACCTCATTAGCACCTAATCTTACAGAAGCACACACCACACTGTTTTGCAGAAAAATGAATCAAAATGAAATCTAATAAATCAACTAAATATGTCCAGAAACCTCCTTGGGAATTTGATATCATTAATACCTTGTACTGAGCCAGTCTTTTCATTTGTCTTCCCAGCATTACAAGCCAACTGGTTTCGAAGCTTGAAAGACAAAAATATTCAATAAATGTGCTCACCGAGTCTCCCAGGAGGCATCATTACACACTATCTGCCACGATGTTGAAGTAGCCTCATATTTCTCCACAGTGAGGAAGGTCTGATGGGTCTGAAATGCAATTAATAAACCTGATCAGGTACTGCACAGTCACAGAAGGAACCTGTTTGTAAATACTCCCCTTGTTGACCATATGTTAGCCTACCAATACCTTGTGTGAAAATGTGTTAGAATTTCATCCAAATTCTTAGGCTTTCCTCTTAACATTCTATGCAATGTACTCAGAATGTTAATTTATCCAGTCTATTAAAAAACATGATTTTTTTAGAAATGTGAAAGAAGTGTAATTTTAGAGTTAGTAGCAAATTTTGGAAATTAGGGCAGAAAAGAGGCTGGGAATAAAACTTACCTGAGATTTTAAAAAGGTATAAGTCAAGCCTTTTCATGATATGTTTATTGATCTATATATCCCAAGACTTTCTCTAGTCACCTCAAAAGTTAGAAGGGAAAATGGTAAAGTTTAGTCTACTTTCCATCTCCAGGTGAATGAATTATTAGTTAACGTACCTCCCTGAGTGAAAGAATTGAAAAGAATACATAAATCTTCCCTATCCTGGGGTACTAAAGGAGGTCTTTAGATTTTTTATAATAGATTTCTAGAAACCACATCATAAAAAGATTTTATTTCCCCATTGGAAGATTATTATAATAGAAGAATTTGTTTCAGACCAAGAATTCAGCTTCAAACAAAGCACAGATTTGAATGATATGACAAGTTAATAAAGACAAAGGCTATACATTTCTAGTATCCTTTTAAATCCTTGAGATTGTGACCCTAAAAGGTACATGTCTAATTCACTTATATTTATCACAGTTCTTTACATCTGTCATTTACTGGTGCTCAAATAACCCCTTGCTAAATGTATCACCTATTTACATGTGGGCCATGTAATTGTTTAAAATTCTTCTTTAAGTATTCAACTGATGAATTACATTCAATAAGGAAGTTTTCATAACCATAGGAACCTGTAAAGAGAGTTATTTCTGTCTATTTATGGCAAATGACATTGGGAAGGCCTTAGATGGAGAAGATATGGTGGGCTTTTTGAATATGTCTAGAGTAGAGACTGAAGAACAAGTCTAGGCCTCTGAATACCAGGGATAAAACATATGACAATCTTTTCCCAACTGCTCTACCGTAATCTCTTCCAGATGCATAATTAGGTAGTGCATACATTAATTATGCATAATATAAGTTACTTTATCTCTCTAGGCCTCAGTTTATTCATCTGGAAAGTAAGGGTAATAAAACTTAACTCATTGGGTAGTCGTAAGGATGGAATTAATCATGTGATAATGCATATAAAGCACTTTAATAGGAATACTTGCAAATACTACCTGCAAAATAGTAAGCATTCCATAAATAGTGATGATAACTACTAATGAAGAAGGGTGATAGAAATTGTTTTATACCAAGTCCCAGAGCATTCTTTGAAATTAATTCTATTACCACTATAGTAGTTTAAAGGTTTTGTTCTCCTGCTTCTCCATGGCAATAATGATGATAGAATTTCTCTACCCTAGGGATATCAGGTGACAGCTAAACATGCAGTTTTGATATAACACTTTGATATCTTCAGAAAATAATGTTATGAACACGTAACTATTGTGGCACAGATTCACTTACTAAAGAAATTACTTCAAACAGGTGCATATTGACTACCTAAGAAGTAGAAGACTTTCCTCCAATGTCATATTTGAGAATGTCATATTGCCACAATTGTTATCTTGGCAATAATGACATTTTAAAAACAGGAATGGGAAGGTTCTTTTGGAAGGAAGGTATTTTTGGATTATAAGTGACTATAGGCCCTGGGAAGAACAGCTAATTGATATAAGGAATGCATCCTCAGCCACAGTGAAAACCATGACCTCGAAATCACAGTCATATGCCCACTCTTTTTCCACTATAAATTCCTTTATTATTTGAGGTTTTACAACTAGAATGTGTCCAGTTACTGCTTGTGTAGTTATAAGTATATTTTAAGGAAGTTATACAAGTATACATTAATTTTATTAATAGATATATTACATATGTATATAGTTTATCATACATATGATAAAAACAAAAAAGTCTAAAATGCTTTATTAAAAAACTCTTAACAGCTATTACCTCTGGAAAGCAGGTTTGTGGGTAGAAGAGCACTTATATATTCTATTTTCTACACTTCTATATTGTTTTAACATTGGGCATGTATTTTGAATGTCATTTTTTAGGTTTAATAAATAAATGCTCTATTAGCACCAGTAGTAAATAATAGGGAAATGGCCAATGCAAGATAAAGTAAAGCACATGCACCAGGACTCCAAGCCAGGAGAGTATACACCTGGGGATCTGTGACCGTTCCACAACAGTACAGGTAGGACCAGAGATAGTAGTGTAGAGGAGGAGGAGAGAGCCAAAAAGAGAAGAAGAAGCCAAAGACACACATCCTTCAGTTGGCCCTTTGACTATTTCACAACATTTGGTAGAGTTCTATATATTTGAATACAGTCATATATCGGATACATCCTGAGAAGTGCATTGTTAGGCAAATTCATCATTGTATGAGCATCACAGACTTAGACTTACACAAACTTAGATGGTGTAACCTCCTACCTAGGCTATATGGTATAGCCCGTGGCTCCTAGGCTACAAATTTGTACAGCCCGTTACTGTATTGAATGTTGTAGGCAATTGTAACACAATGGTAAGTATTTGTGTATCTAAACATACCTAAACGTAGAAAAGGTACAGTAAAAGTAGAGTATTATAATCTCACGGGACCAATGTCATAAATGCAGTTCATCTTTGACTGAAACATCATTGTATGTGGCGCATAATTATATATATGGGATTGTATTCAACTTAACATCTTCTTGACAGACAATGCAGTCATACATGCATTATGCTATACTTGGTCCTAAGTGGAGCCAATTATATGTTTCCTGTGTGCTTTTACCCAGACTCAATCCACATTAACTACCTATTGAATATTTTCCCGTACCTACAAAATAAGATGGAAAACAAGTTGGAACATTTTGTCTTTATGTTATTAACCTCTAGAGGGATATTTAAATGAATGAATGGCTAAAAAGTGGATTTACATTTGTAAAAGAAAATCATTGATACCTACCTGGTTTTGTACTGAATTCTTCGGGTTAGCACCTACAAATATAACTTCAGCAACTTCCCCCTGAAAGTAAAAATTCATTTAATGATTTCTAATAAACGGTTTTTTTGCTATACTCATATTTTGGACATTATTTATTATAAATTCTATAATTTAGGGTGCCTTTATAGATTTTGTTCTATTTAATCAAGTAAGTTATCTTCTAAGAATATTAACCCTTGCAACAATAGACATAGGAATGTTTGGCCAA